>NC_000014.9:72490500-72642016 GCF_000001405.40 Homo sapiens
CTCTAGTGTGCCCGTGGTTTCGCTTGTCTATTTTATATTTGTAGAGGATTGTCAAGATTCTTTGGAGATGCTTTCCCATTTTCTATCACAATGGTCCTGAGTGCTCAACAAGCCTGTTATATAACATGATGAACTTGACAAAGATCAGTTAAATGACTCAACCAAGAATTCAAACTAAGGCTTTTCAACTGGGACCACTGCTGCTTCTACCCCAGGGGTCATGATAAACACCTGGGACAGCGAGGAGGCTCTGAGGTGTCCGAAAATTTACATCCATCTTCAAAACCAAAATTACCAGGGGCTCTTTCATTTTGATTTGATGAATAAAACATCTTGTGTCCTGAATGTTTCAGAAAATTGAGGAATGAGATATGGTTCTCTCAAACTTGGATGTGCATATGAATCACCTGGGGGATCCTATTAAAAAGCAGAATCTGACTCAGGAGGCCTGGGCTGGGACCTGAGATCCTGCATTGCTAACAGGCTCCCAGGTGATGCCAGTGCAGCTGGTTTATGGATCACACTTCCAGTAGCATGAGATGGCACCTCTGACTAATTTCTCTGCCTGTTCAGCATTAAGCTAATTGGCCATTATTGCCCTTTGCAATTCAGTAGTAGGAATTGTGGCTCTGACTTTGCTGTTGTGGGAGAAGATGCTGACACACAAGCTGGCAATGCTTAAGGAAAAATTTTATTGTGGATCGATAACCATAAAAATATTCATACCTTTTGGTCAAATAATTCTGCTTATGGATATGCATTCTAAATAAATAACCCAGAAGATGAAAAAAAAAAATCTGTGTGAACAACGGTGTTCTACCACAGCACTATGTATATTAAAAAAGAAAAAAATCTGTGTCTAATAAAAAGGAAACGATTAAGTAAATTGTAATAAAGTCACTCAATGCAACCAAGACAATATTGTAGACATATGTTCATCTTCTCCCTTTCCTCAAATGCAACATGTCACTAAAGGAACAAAAATGGCATGAACTCACAAGGTTAACAAACTATTAATAATTTCAACACATTTGTCCAAGATACAAAGTTTACGTAATTGGGGAACATAACCACAGGCCCCTATGTCTGTATTTGTTATTTTTTATTTTTTTAATTGGTCAGCGAGTACAAGGTATCAAAGTAAAATCTTACAATTTTTATACATTTCTGTATGCCTGAAATATTTCAAAATTTAATAAAAAAGAAAGTGCATAGGGACAGAGTAAAGAACATTCTAACCTACATGTTGGGGGCAGAAGTGATGTGACAAAGTGAGCCAGTTTTCGCAACAAAGCCTGGCCTTGGCTCTTGAAGGCACTAGGGACCATGGAAAGCAGGAATGAGGCATGGGGCTAACAGCAGAGGAATGGTCAAGTCTGTCACAGGAGACTTTGCACCCCTAGATCTCCTGCCCTACTAGGAAACAATCCTTCCCACCTACCACCACTGCAGGAGATGGGCAGTTTTTTCTTGAGAGAAATTGAGCCACATACGCTCAGATCTCAGACACATCAGATCTCATAAGAGGCCACCTGAAAATAAGAGAATTAATGGAAGCTCTACGCACTGAACTGTGGGGCCTGTAGGGATGGAAAGTGTGATACCTTTCCTCATCTACCATAAGGATTACGGCCAACACTGCTATAACAAAAGAGGTTAACAAGAGAAAAGCATAAATGCATTTATTTCATCAGTTTCACATGACACAGAAGCCTTCAGAAATGAAGACTCAAAGACCCAGGGAAAACTGTATTTGTGCTTAGGTTCCATGAAGAATGGGAAGCCTTGTAGAAATGTGATTGGACAAAAGGGTGTGATCTACTGGTAACAGACTGAGGGGAGGAAACCCAGCAAGGCCTGTCTGTTCAGATTCTTCTTAGTGTCTCTGAGTAGCATTCCTACCTCCCAGGTAGGACCTCTCTGGAATGAGGGTTTTCAAGGGAGAAGGGAGCGAGTGACCTTTCTAGGTTTTGTGGCTTGCTTTGCAGGAGAGGCATTCTAGTTTCTATGACCCACTTTGGCGAAAAAGAATTCTTGTTTCTATGACTTACGTCGGGGGAGAAAAAGGGATGGGAGACGGGGGCAGGAGAGAAGGTGAAAGCCTTGGCTTCTGAGGCCCTTCCATTCTCCTTTAGTTCAAAGTACTCAGCATGCCAACATACTATACTTTAGGGTATCATGTTCTGAGCCCCAACAGACCCTCAGCCCCTCCCCGACCCTGCTCTCAGGCCTCCAGGAGCCAGACATATATACCCACAGGCAAGAGACTGTCAAAGTACAACCTGTGGGCCAAACCATACTCCATTCTGTTTTTGCAAATAAAGTTTTATTAGAACACAGTCACACGCATTCATTTGCAAGCTGTCTATGGCTGCTTTTATGCCACAGCAGTAGAGCTGAGTAGTGGCAACAGACACCATCTGGCCCACAAAGCCTAAAATATTTACTATCTAGGCCCTGCAGAAAAAGCTTGCCAATGCCTGCCCTAGGGAAAAATAGACGCCCCAGAGGAAAGACTCCAGATCCCTCATTTGGAGCTCCCATTAAAATACTGGTAAACTTCCCTATGACAATGAAGCCCATCAGTGACAAGCCCCATCCACACGCCCACTGAGCCGCCAAGCAGGTTTCAGTACCTCAGTCTTAAGTACAAATGGATGTCCAAAGATTTTCCAGACACTCCAGGAAGGCTCAGCGTGAAAGAGTATAATCAAAATAAACCGACAGAAAAAAGGAACTTGGAAGAACCAAAATAATTCAACAACTGGAAGAAACTTACAATAAAAGTATAGAACTCATATTATCTGAGAAATGAGAAGGTATTTCATCCATAAAACAAGAACTAGACACTATGATAACCAAAAGTGAACTCTGAAACTTAGAAAGTAATGGCTCAAAATTAAAAAATAAATAAATAGTTAAAAGAGAGTTTAACAAAAAGACAAGGAGATGAAAAATGGGAGGGAAAATAAACAATTCAGGATGTCCAATATTGAACTGGAAAAAAAAATATAGGACAAGCAAACAAAGGAAACAAAGGGTTTAAAATTAGTGATGAATACTATAAAATTCCTGATAATTATTTTCTTATCTATCACACACTGTGCCCAGCATAGTAAATAACAACAACCAGCAAGGGCCATCATGAAATTGCAGAACACTCTAGCAATAAAGAGATGATTCTAAGTTGACAGAGAGAAAAGAAACTGAACCAAAGAACGAGAATCAAAATGGATCCAGGCTTCTCAATAGTAACACTGCATACCAGAAAAAAAAAAACATGGAGTGATGCCTACAAATTTCTAAAGGAAAGAGATTTTTCACCTAGTGTTCTATGTCTAGCACTATCAGTCAAGTATGGAGATAAAAGCATTTTTAGACTTGCAAGGATTCTCATGCATCCTTTATTACGAAACTACTAAAGGATGTGCTTCAACACAATCAGGGAGTAAAAGCAAGAGATAGACATGGAATCCAGGAAACATGGGCTTTTCAACACAGAAGTGAAGGAAGTCCCAAAAAGATCATTTTCCATCAAGTCTATAGAGCAAATGATCCAGTTTCGAGCAAGAAGACTAAAGACTTCAGGAAAGAGGATCTCTGGGAAACAAGAGGACAGAACTGCTCAATTATTTGATGTGTTTAAGGTATAAAAAAATGATTGCTAGATGTTTTACAGGTTTGTTAAAACACTTGCTTGGAAAAAGTAGTATGATATTTAGCTGAACAGCAAACAATTTTTATCTAGTTTAATAATGTTACACTGACCATTGATTTAACAAAAATTGTAACACAAATCTATTTGGAGGATCACGTAAGAAAAGGAGGGAGTTGAGGACTGGTGAATAGAAAGATAAATTCTTGTCTAAAATAAAAAAATCAGGAATAGATATAAAAGCGTATAATTTAGAAATATATAGGTAGCTTTTAGAAAAAACATAAGGTGGAAAGTAGATGCCTCTCTGAGAAGGGATGGGAGGAAAAAATAATTGCTTTTGCTTTTTTAGTATATATAATCATTTGGTACTATTTTATTATTCTAACTATTCACATACATTTTGATAAGAATAAAAATTAGTCTAAAATAAATTATATCAATCTATAAGATCAACATATCTATTAGATCATAATTATAACTAGAAAAGTTGCTTTTTTGGAAAAAAATGCAAATGTTTACTCCTTGTGGTCTGCTGATATTTAAAAGTCTTTATCATAAGAAAGTCCTTCCGTTGGGAATGCTGAGCTGGCAGTCTGGTGGAGCTGTAGTGTCTTTTGTGTGTTCCAGATGCCTCGAGAATCAGTCTTTGTGGGAGGGTGGAACACAAACAGTTTTGACCAGTGTATTAGTATCAGTAAGGCTAGCATAACCAGGGAGAGATGCACCAAGGTTCAGGTAAAGAATCAAGTGAGGAAAAGATATATAAAATGCATGTATATATCATGGCTGCAACAGTGCAAAAATGGTATGTTCGTTATAAGAAGGAAATAAGGACAAATGAAAACAGTTTGATGTGTCAGAAGTGGGAGCGGAAATAAATTTTTTCCTTTAATTTAGAATTATGTGAAGACTGCTATAATGTTTGTGTAAAACAGAATAAAGGGGTTTTCTAAGGAAATCAGTGGCATTCTTTGCTCTGCCTCCCTCCTGCAGTTTAATTGCCTACACGGAACAATATGTGGAATATGACCCTTTGATAACACCAGCTGAGCCATCCAACCCTTGGATCAGCGATGACGTTGCTTTGTGGGACATAGAGATGAGGTAAAAAATGTTTTAAGGTTTGGGAGTGGGATGAATGTAGACAAAAATCCATGAGATCATGAGATTACCTTATATTCTATCTTAATTTGACATTTTTTATCGCTAGAACAGAAACCCCTCAAGTAGCCTCCCAGCTGAGTTCTACTTACAGTTTCTACCTCCTTATAGCTTTGATTTGTGCATGGATCCTTTGTGGCTCCCCTCTGACCCTTTGGATACCATGATAACTGAGACAGTCCCTCACCATTCCCTAGTTCTGATTGCTGGAAGAAAAGAATCTGTTGTTCCAATTTTTTTTCCTGTTAGACAGCAACAATAATGATAATAGCTGGCACGTATTCTGCATTGGCCACATCCTGCAGTAAGTGTCTCTCACTGAATCCCCTCGACAGGTAAACATTACTATTCTCACCACTCAGCAGTTATGGAAACTGAGGCACAGAGGAGTTAATGAACTTGCCCAAGGTCATACTGCTAGTACAGCAGAGTTAGGACTAGAACTCAGGCAGAGGGCTCCAGAACCATGATTTCATCACTCTGTTCTTCTGGAGTAACTGCCAGCAACGATTCCAGCCAGTTTCTCCTTCCCTGTGAGGGAAGCCACTGTGTTTACTTAAGAGGGGAGGAACCAAAGCCCAGAGGGACTTGGACCACTTTCAGAATTACAGAAGGAAACACACAGACAAAGCTAGTGTGGTGTGCCTTCACACCCCCTGCACCTTGGCTGGATGAATTTTTATTTCCCTTTTCATGTCTCTGTCACTCACATTGTCTTTCACTTTTGCCCCTTTTCTGGCTGCTTTTCCTGAAATGGAAAAAATCTTATAAAAATAATAAAAGTCGCAGATGCTCATTCTAAAAAGTTCAAATTATCCAGATGTGCATAAAGAAGAAAATGCTCTCTTCCTCCAACCCGATTTCACCTTCCAGAAAGAACCTTTGTTTATAGTCTAATGCTGTGGTTCCCAGAGTGGATCAGAGCACCCTGAGCACTGTGGGGAACTCACAGAGTTACCACTGGATAGTCCAAATTTTTTATGGAAACACAGCGATGGTTGACACATGGCAGATACTGCATAAACTACTAGCTTAAGATGGTTCAGTTTCAACATTAGAGCACGTTACATCCCTTATGATGATACGCATCTTTGCAAATCTGGCTTTTCGGAGCAGTCACTATGATAAAAAGCAAGAACTGCACAAAAATTAACATGGAATAAGAAATAGGGACGGTAAGTTCCAACCTAATTCCAAAATTTAAGAAAATGCGTAGTGCCCAATAGGTGCATATTGTAGTTATTTAAGAATGAAAACAAAATTTTCAATTTATGTGTCTTTCAAACAGCTACTAAGTTGTTAGGATACAAATACATATTAAGTTGATTGGTCCTAGCCATAATAAATGACACTGTTAAGTATTTCTTTTGGCCCAGGGGCACTGTGAAAAACTTACTGAGACGCTAAGGGTACCATGAGCTCAGCAAATTTGGGAACATCTGATTTAGTGTCTATTACTTTGGATTTTTATGCACATATAACATTCTATCCTTTTGTATAATTGGGTTCAATATATATACCCAAATATGTACATATATATATATAGTCCAATAATTTTTAAATTAACAATAGGTCGTGGCAGTCTTTCCATGTAAACACATATAGATCCACCTTACTCTTTTTAATAGCTACATACTATCCCCTGGCACCGGTGAAGTAAGATTTATTTTACCAGTACCTGGATCATAAATATTTAGCTTATGTCCTCCTTTTTTGCCACCATAAACAATGATTCCGGGAACATCTTTCTACACAAGTTCAATTATTTCATCAGTATATATTTTCCAGGAGTAGAATTCGTAGAAATGGTATGCATATTTTAATTTTAGTTCGTAGGTCCAGATTCCTCTTGAGCAAAACTGTAACACATCTTTTTCATTCCCTTAGCTTAAAAGTGCCCATTTCCCCACATTCTTACCATCCCAAGCATCATCAATCATTTTGTCTTTGCAAATCCAAAAGGTTAAAATAATTCTCATTTTACTGTTTTGTTTCCTTGTTAATATACTTGAGAATCTTTTCACATGTTTATTAGACAGATTCTAGCAATATGTTTTGCTTTGGATATTTGGATATAAAACAGTCACATTTACTTGAATCATATATTTTATCTTTTTCCTGATATATTTCTGAATCTCATTCTTTGTTCTTGTTTCTTTTTCTCTTCCCTGACTTTTACTTTATTAATGTTATATTAACTTTGTAAAAACCCTAGTTTCTATTCTAGTTGTATTAACTTTTAAATGTTTTAATTAAAAACATCATCGATTTAAACAAACAAGAGTGAAGTATATAAAATAGTGAAGTTACCTTTGCCTCCCTTAAATCCCATTCTTCCCAGAGGTATGTTAACTTGATATATTTTAAACCAACATTTTTGAACTTGTATTTCTATGAACATTTAAAGAATAACTAGTATATAGTACGTATCTTCTTTCTAATATTTCTGATGAGCCCTAGGTAGTTCCTTCTAAGTCAAGAACTTAACTCTTTCTTTAACTCAGGATTTTTTTTCTCTTTTTTAAAAATTATTGCTGCTTTTTTTCCATTCTATCCTCACTTTTCAGGAAATCCTTTTTTAAGAAGTCTGGGCCTCTGGGATGGAGTTGCTACATCTTTTATATTTTCTCTATTATAATTTCCATCTTTTAGTCTTTTTATTCTATATTCAAAGGATACAATTTCCTGAATTGCTCTTCAGAATCACTGCTTTGATTTTCACTGGTGTCCATTCTGTGATTTTATACTTTAGAGAGTTTTTCTTTTCCCACTGAGTGTTGGGAGAGTGGTTGATAATCAAGCTTTTCATTTCCAAGACTTCTTAATACTTCTTGGACTGTTCTTTTCTTAGTAGCCTGCTCTGTTCTATTGGTGTTTATCATGTTACTCCCCCTGGAGATGTGATATAGATTTTTTTCATAGTTTATATTTTTTCCATATTTTCATATCTCCTCTCTATTTCTGCCGCTTAGTTTTATTCGGGGTTATTCATTAGAGAATCATCATTTCTGCTCATTGTTTCATTCATTCCTCTGGTCACTGCTCAGAGCAGATCATTCTTTTTGTATGCCCAGCTATTTGGAAGACTGCTCATTTTTATAAATGAAGGTCTTAGCTTTCAATCCTGCCATACATTAGAACCACCTGGAAGTTTCTAAAAAATACTAATGCCTGGTCCTCACACACAGCCAATTAATTCAGAATTTCTCACAATTGAACATTGTTTTTTAATCTCCCCACATTTTTTTTTAAATCTCCCTTTTTAAATCAGGGAGATTTAAAAAGTCTAATGTGCAGCCATGGCCTAGGACTCTATCAGTAGCTGGTGAGGGTGCTCTCAGTGATGGTATGGGCCAATGGTTCTAAGCCATGCTGTGCATCAGAATCACCTGGGCTCCTCTTTAAAAATACACGCATACTGGGGTGGCTCTGGGCGTCTGCATCTTGAGCAAGCACCCCAGGCGTTCTGAGGCACACGACAGTTTAAGAAGTCCTGGTTTGGTTCACGGAGTTCCCCGGCAGGCTTTCCCCTGAGCAGTTCACACAGGAGCAGGGCTGCACCTGAATGTATGAATGGATGGGCATAGATCAATTGCCAAGGTTCCCCTCTGGGTCCCGGGTATGTGGTCCAAGAACAGATTAAAAGATTGGGCCCTCTCTTACAGTGAGACAGGTGGCAATGGGAGTCTTGGGGAGGTAGACCCCCACCCTTCCTAGTGTGACATCCCTGCAGCCAAGTGTTCTACTCTGTGGGTCAAGCCCTGATGGAGTTTCTGATGTCTTTCTATTTCCTCGCCAAGGTACTCCCCAACAAGTCGACTCTTCTCCCTCCACTAATGGGTCTTAGGGGAACCCACTTGGATCTGCGAAAGCCAATGAGAGGTGGGGAGAAAGCTAATGTGTCTTTAAAATCTCCCTGGTTCCCAAGATGTTTTTTCTCTGTGTGTGTGCTGTGCTGGCAGGAACACAATCCTCTGGCCTTACTGTCCATATGAGAAGCTGGCCGGGAAACATCCCCCTTAACTTAGCAAACCCTTTTGGCCATGTGGAACCTGATCCATGTTCCTGAGTTGCTTCCATATGCCCCTTGTCTGATGCCACCCACTGCCTCCACTTCCAATCCTGCTGCTCAGAGCTCGGGGTTTCCCAAGGCTTCTGTTGGGGACACTCAGCTATTTTCTTCTCTGATGCCTCCACTGGAATCGTAGGCTGCTGTCGATCAGATATGTCACAAGTTCAGTCTATGTGCTTCGTGCCTTCCTGAAATTTCTCAAAGCTCTCATCTGCTGATAGGAAATTTCTTTGCCTCTACATACTGTGTTTAGTTTTTTTGGGGTTTTTTTGTTGTTTGTTTGTTGTTTTTTTTTTACTTAACTGAGCTCTGGGCTTTTGCCTGTTCCCTCCTCGTTGGCCACTTGTCCCCCAGATCCTCACATGGCTGGCTTCACTTCTCATTCAAGTCTCACTCAGCACTGGTGTCCCTTCCTCAGAAGGGCTTTCTGTGACCACCAATCTAGAGTGGCCACCTCATCCCTCCAGCTGTTCTATATCACATCCTCCTCCTGGTTCCCTTTCTAAATAGAATGATTTCAGCGCCTAGGCCTATCTGGCATACAGCGGGCACCGTGTGGGCTGGAGGGAGGATGGATGAACAAGTCATTCTTTATTTGATCGTTTCATTGGTATTTGGGAAAGGAGGAGAGGCAAATGTGTGAACCTAATTCACAATGATAAAATGAACTTCCTCTTTTGTTCTTGAAAGTCAGCAAAGAAGTATGTAATCATGTAGGAAAATGGGGTCGCATGGCCTATTGGTTTATTCCAACCTATTCAGCACTTTTTCCCCAAGGAGGTGCTACCTGCCCCCTACTACTCATGCCCTGGTTCTACTCCTGTTGTTCTAGCTTCGACTCTGAACTTCATGCCTAATCTAGGATAGCTACAGTGTTCTGTCCACTTACAGGCAGAATCAAGTGTTCAGATACAAGTGAAAACGAAGCCCTGTTTCTTCTCCCAACAGACTACTCCTACCCACTTAGTTGCTGGCAGTGATGTTAGGAAAAAACAGGGTGGAATCAGTGTCAACATCACACTCCAGCCAAGGGATGGTTTCTGTCCACAAAACGAAGGCTGAAGATGACCAATAAAATAATTGAGTCACTTTCTCTCGGTTTCAGTTTAATTCAATACATTTGTATAGTAGTCAACTATGTGCTGTGTTCTGAACAAGAAGGGCTCTCAAGATAACAAATGTAGCAAGGTAAATAAAACATGCTATCTTACCATCTGGCACCAGAACTCCTCCTTGCTTGGCAAAGGACATTAAGCCACTTGGGGCAGAAGGTAAGGCCCTAAGGGCAGAAGGGTTGGCAGAGACTGAAACAACAAAGGGAGAGGGTTGTGCTGTCCTGCTGAGAAAACGAGACAAATGTATTCTCTGTTCCTGAGAGGGGAGAACTAAGGGCAGGGGAAAGCAGGGGAGGGAGAGAAGCCAGAGGCCAACAAAAACTAAGTCTCTGTGCAAGGCCAGGGAAATGCCTAGCATTGAGGTGACCAGGGACTTTTCAAAAGCAGGAATGTCTAGTATGTGCTTTTTTAAATAGTAGGCTGCCAGGAGGTGCGATATGTACCCATTTTTCAAGACCCTCAAATTCCTGTAAGGCCCCCACCCTCCCAAACGCTTCATGAGAGGAGGGGTTTGGTGGGTGTGGGTGAAGGTTTGTGGGAAAGGAGAGACAGTGAGAATGCAGGACTCCCTTAGGAATTCCTGCCAATCTCAGGTGGGCTTTGGACTTCACTGGGCTGGGTGAAGGGGTCCAGGCAGGCTCGTTATGATTTCCAGGGCCCAGGATGTCACCGACAATGTCTAAATTCTGCAAGGTGGAGAATATACTGAGTCTGCCGTGGGGAGGTTACAGACAGCCAAATGGAGGATGGCCATAGCAGCTGAATAGAATCACGGATAAGATGACATAGGATATACAATAAATAGCAGAAAATTGTGCTTTAATTCTTTCTCCTTCTCAGACAAGCTATTCGATCTGGAAGTCCAAGGATAAGAAAGTTATATTCAGAGGGGAAAAAAAGGCAACTGTTTTAAAGGATGGGCAAACTACACCTCAAGTTTATGCAACATAGTGAGCTGTGATCGCACCACTCCACTCCCGCCTGGGTGACAGAACAAGACCCCTAAAGAAAAAGAGTAAATTCTGAGAAGTAAAGTTTAATTAAAGAAAATAGTGATTGCCAGGGCTTCTCATTGAGGAGAAGTCAGTCAAAAGTTGCCAGATGACGTAATTCTTTATGTCATCTGAAAACCACCAGGAGAGTGTCCCAGGGATACGTATGTAAAGTATTTCTGGTGGTGCCACTAACTAGATGCTGGAGTCTAATGAAACCTGGTGTTGTCAGCAGAATGTGGTTTGTGATTTGCTCTCTCCGCATGACTTCAGTTTAGCTCTCCCTCTCTGCTGGGTATCAGGCACATGAGCAAAGAGCTACAAGGAACCTGGCTTGTCCAGCTTGGCCGTAGGCATTCACTCCCAGCCAACCTGACCTGCTGAGAGGCAGAGATCATCCCTGAGCTGCCCATGCACAGCGAGTTTGACAGAACTATTAATCCGGAATATTAGTCAAGCTCCTTTCTTATGGTGGTGGATCTCCAAATATGGCCCCATTGGTGCCTTCCCTCTTTACATCAAGTAGGACACCAAGACCAAGGCCAGATGAAAAGAGAGGGAGCACCTTTTTCCCTCTCTCAAACTATTTGAGAACCAGTAATCCAGAACCCCTGTGGTGGCTTCCACCTTGGTCATTTGAAATATTTGCTCTTGAGACATTCCTTCTTGGAATCCATCTGCCATGCTTGGAGAAGCCCAAGCCGTTGGAGAGGCCATGTGCAGACAGTCTGGTCAGTAGCCTCTGCTGAGCTCCTGGTCAGCAACTAGCATCAGCTGTTAGGTGATGAGCCCTCCTGGATGCACAGCCCAGTCAAATCTCCAAATGACCCCACCTCCAGCTGCCATCCAACTACAACCATGTGATCCCCAAGTGAGAACCACCCAGTGGAGCCTAGTCAACCCATAGGAGAGTGAAAGAGACTAATAAATGGCTTTTTTAAGCCCCTGGATTTTAGGATGGTTTGTTACACAGCGTAAATAACTGGGCCAGGCGCGGTGACTTATGCCTGTAATCCCAGCACTTTGGGAGGCCGAGGCAAGCGGATCACGAGGTCAGGAGTTTGAGACCAGCCTGGCCAACATGGTGAAACCCCGTCTCTACTAAAAATACAAAAATTAGCTGGGCATGGTGGCAGGCAGCTGTAATCCCAGGTACTCGGGAGCCTGAGGCAGGAGAATAGTTTGAACCTGGGAGGCGGAGGTTGCAGTGAGCTGAGATCGTGCCATTGCACTCCAGCCTGAGCGACAGGGTGAGACTCCATCTCAAGAAAAGAAAGGAAAAGAAAAGAAAAAGAAGTAACTGGACCACTCTTCATTGGAGTATTCAGGACCCTCAGGTTGTTCTTGAGGTATTAAATAAAATTATGATTGTTTCTTTAGTAGCCTTGGCTCTGAGATGGGGACATTGGATTATTTTCTTTTTAAGGAATTGCCTTATTTCGTAATTTTTCTAATAACTTGTCTTAGTCTGTTCAGGCTGCTACAGCAAAAATGCCATATACTATGTGGCTTAAAAACAATATAAAAATTTTTTTCACAGTTCTGGAGGCTGGGAAGTTCAAGGTCGAGATGCCACAGATTGGGTGTCTGGTGAGGGCCTCCTTCCTGGTTCATAAATGTCTGGGTCCTCACATGGCAGAAAGGCAAGAGAGCTCTGGGGTGTCCTTTTATAAGGACACTAATCCCACTCCACGTGACCTAATTACCTCCCAAAGGCTTCACCTCCCAAAACCATCACATTAGGGGTCAGGATTTCAACATATAAATTTGAAGGGGAACACAGACATTCAGTCCACAACATTCTACCTCAAGATCCCCAGAATTTATGTCATCTTGCATGCAAAATACATTCATTCCATCTCAGTAGTCCCCGAAGTCTTAACTTGTCCTGGCATCAATTCTGAAGTCCAAAGTCTTATCTGAATATCATCTAAATCAGATATGAATGAGATTAAAGATACCATTCATCCTGAGGCAAATTCTTCTCCAGCTGTGAACTTGTGAAACCAAACAAGTTATGTGCTTCCAAACTACAATGGTGGGAGAGGTATAGGATAGACATTTTCATTCAAAAAGAGAGAGAGAGAGAGAGAGAAATAGGAAAGAAGAAATGGGTAATGGGTTCCAAGTAAGTCCAAAATGCAACAGGGCAGAAAACATTAAACCTTAAGGCTCTAGGAATAATTCTCTTTGGCTCAATGCTCTGTCTTTTAGACCCACTGGGGCAGCAGCCCCACCTCCATAGCTCTCCTGGGCTGGAGTCATACACCCATGGCTTTCCTGGGCTGATGCTCTGGTCTTCCAGGCCCATTTGGGTGGCAGCATCATCCCCACAGCTTGGTGGGATGGCCCTACAGCAGCTTTCTCCTGGGGTCCCTATTGCTTTCCCAGGCTGGGGTTCCTCACCTGCAGCTCTTCTGGGCAGCCCAGTCCACCATGGCTCTGCTGGGTGCAGCCCATATTGCAGCTTTCTGTGGGGACCCCATCCCAAGTCACTGGGCAGGAGCATCCTGATCTACCTAAATTGAAGAGACGAGTTGATCCTTTAAAACTGTTCTGCTCTCCTACTACATGTCCCTTGAACTCTGGGCCTATGGTGCAAGTGGCAGCCCTGATGAACTCTGAATTGCTTTTGAGTAATTCTTCCATTGTCTTGAAGAATAGTTCCTGGATTCTGTTAAGATGACTCATCCATACTAATATACTTATCAAACAGTCACTTGGCCACACTATTAGTGGTCTCATTTTTTGCATATGAATAGACAAAGAATTTTTCAGATCTTCAGGTTCTGGTTTCTTTTTGTGCTTAACAATTCTGTCTTTAAGTCACGTTTTACTATAAGTAGTCAGGAAGAGCCAACCTGCACCTTCAACACATTGCTTAGAAATTTCCTCAGCTAAATATTTAATTTCGTTGCTTGCAAGTTTTACCTTTCACAGAATACTAGAACCAAATAAAATTCAGCCAAATTCTTTGCCACTTTATAACAAGGATCAACTTTTCTCCAGTTTCTGGTGATATATGTCTCATTTATGTCTAAAACTCATCAGAATGGCCTTTACCATCTATATTTCTACCAGTATTCTGTTCAGGATTATTTAGGTATTATCTAGGAAGATTGAGGCTTTCTTTATAGCTCTCCTCTTTACTTTCTGAGCCCTCGCCAGAATATCCTTTAAAGGCCTGGTTACAGCAGTTTAGGTTCCTCTCCCCTCCTCTCCCCTCCCCTCCTCTCCCCTTCCCTCTCCTTTCCTTTCCTTTCCTTTCCTTTCAAGATGGAGTCTCACTGTGTCACCCAGGCTGGAGTGCAGTGTCGGGATCTCAGCTCACTGCAACCTCCGCCTCCTGGGTTCAAGCAATTCTCCTTCCTGAGCCTCCTGAGTAGCTGGGAATTACAGGTGCCCACCACCACGCCCAGCTAATTTTTTTTTTTTTTTTTTTTTTTTTTTTGTATTTTTAGTAGAGACGGAGTTTTGCCATGTTGTCCAGGCTGGTCTCAAACTCCTGACCTTGTGATCCGCCTGCATTGGCCTCACAAAGTGCTGGGATTACAGGCGTGAGCCACTGCACCCAGCCAATTTAGGCTTTTGCTGACATATATCTCAAGACCCTTCCAGCTTCTATTCATTACACTGTAAGCCACGTTCACATTTTTAGTTGTTCATTACAGCAGCTTCCCACTCACAGTACGAACTTCTGTCTTAGTCTGTTAGGACTGCTGTTACAAAAATACTATAGACTGTGTGGCTTATAAACAACAGAAATTTATTTCTCACAGTTCTGGAGCTAGGAAGTCCAAGATCAGAGTGCTGGCAAATTCAATATCTGGTAAGGATCTGCTTTCTAGTTCATAGATGGCTGTCTTCCTGCTGTGTCTTCACATGACAGAAGGGAAAGGGAGCTCTCTCTGGTCTCTTATAGAGTACTAATCCCACTCATGACCTAATCACCTCCCAAATATCCTGCCTCCTAATACGATCACATTGTGGATCAAGATTTCAATGTATTAATTTGGAGAGGGACACAAACATTTAGTCCTTAACATAATTCTTAAGTGTTTTGAAGATAGCTTGTATATTCCCCAAGTCTTAGTTTAGATATTGATTGAGGCAAATGTAGTAGAAGGCAAGGTAACAGAGTGGAAAAAAAGAATAGGCTTTGGAGACAGGCAGTCCTGGGATCCAGGTCCTGGCTGCCACCTACCAGCTGTGTGACCTTGGACAATCTGACCTCTTTTGAACTCTGGATGTTTAAATACAATGTCAGCCTCCCTGGCTTATATTAAGATTTAAATAGGGCACTGTAAGGAAAGCTCCTTACACCATGTGTAGCACTATGAAGCTCCTGCAGAAATGAGCATTGATATAGACAATTGCTTCCTTTGAATCTGGCTTTCTTGTCCTCAGTTTGGTAACTTTCCTCCATCTCTAGCTGGGGGATCAGCAGAAATGAAAGACAGACACCCTTGGAGAGCTTTGCTATGTGTTGGTTTGGGCTGTCCAGTGGGAGGCAGGAACTTGATAAGAATGAAGAGGCACAGAGGACAAATAAGAGTTAGAAAAAGGCATCCAGCTAGCGATTAGAAAACACTGTCAGGATAAGGACACTTCATCCACATCACTATACACATTTCTAAACTGATTTCATTTTAGTGCTGAACACTTGCCATGTGAAAAGTCCTATGCTCATTACAAAGACACATGAAATATGGTCCCTGACCTCAAAGAGCTAAAAAAAAATAGCTGGAAAGACAATGGCATAAACTCTCGAAAATCCAAATGCTGACATAAAACTCTACTAGAGAATATGTCCCAAGGAAATATCGCTACACAATGGATGTAAAGAGACTGTGCTTCTGTGGATTGTTTGCTTGAATTTGGCTGAGGGACAGTTATTGTACCACTTACCTGGAGATGGATGTTGAAAGATATTTTAATTTGCAGAATTATTTTATAACCATAAGAGACCATTCAGTGGTAACAACATGTTCAAGTCTTTTCTTAAACCTTGAAGTGGATGATATTGGGAATACTCAAGTGATACAGAAGAGATATGTATAGGGAAGATGTATCTAGGAAGCTTTTAATAGAACAGACTCCCAGTAGTGAAATCGTACTAGGAAAATAAGGAAGAAATGTGGATCATCCAGTTGTAGTAATACAATTGTGAATAATGGATAGTTGAGGGAAGCCAAGTATACATGGTTACATTGTATCGACTAAAAATTCATGTCTTTCCCAGAACCTCAGAATCTGACTTATTTGGAAATAGAGTTGTTGCAGATGCAGTTAGTTAAGATGAGGTCGTACTTGAATAGGGTGGGCCCCTAATCCAATATGACTGATGACTTTATAAGAAGAGAAAGCAGGCTGGGCATAGTGGCTCACGCCTGTAATCCCAGCACTTTGGGAGGCCGAGGCAGGTGGATCACAAGGTCAGGAGATCGAGACCATCCTGGCTAACACGGTGAAACCCTGTCTCTACTAAAAAAAAAAAAAAAAAAAAAAAAAAAAAAAAAAATTAGCTGGCCATGGTGGCGGGTGCCTGTAGTCCCAGCTACTCAGGAGGCTGAGGCAGGAGAATGGCGTGAACCCAGGAGGCGGAGCCTGCAGTGAGCCGAGATCACCCCACTGCACTCCAGCCTGGACAACAGAGTGAGACTCCATCTCAAACAAAAAGAGAAGAGAAAGCAGAGACACAGACACTTACAGAGCAAACACCATGTGGAGACACAGAAACACAGGAAGAGAGAGTGCAGTGATGCATCTGCAAGCTGAAGAATGCCAACATCAGAAGTTAAGGAAAAGTCATGGACCTGGTTCTCCCCTAAAGCTGTCCAATAGAGCATGGCCCTGTCAACACCTTGATTTTGGACTTCTAGGCTCCAGAACTGTGAGAGAATAAATTTCTGCTGTTTTAAGCCACCCAGTTTGTTAGTCCTTTGTTATGGCAATCCTAAGAAGCTAATACACCAGGGTATCCTGTCTCTCTAGACCCATTTATTTCTGCTGAACTATGACCTTGCCATTTTCCAGATACCCCCACCTTCTGTCCTAAGCATCCCTCTGATTCTACATCTACAGTGACACCCCAAGATTTCTGGCCCACTCCAAAAATTGCCCTTCTCCCACTCTTGCCACCACCAAGGAATCTGGTGGAATGAATGTGGACTCACCACTTGGGTACCAGAAAGGGGTGACACTGGTGGTGGGTGTGCATCCATGAGGCAGTCACTACAAAGTCTGAGTGAATTTCTACAGCTGCTAATATGGGCACAGCCCTCATTCGAGTACAGCTGCCACTAGTACCATCCCTGGAGAGCCCTGAATCCTCCTCTGGTAAAGAGTAAATGGTTGGGTCCATCCTTGGTCATAGCATGACCTTGGCAGAAAGAGACAATGTCCTGCAGTCTCTGGGGCTTAAATTTACTGCCAGCCTCAACCCCAGGGGAATTCTTCCACAAACAGTATTTTTGGTTCCCTTGAAAGTTATTGAGTTTGATTAGGTCTGTGGCTTGCGTTTGAGAGAATCCAGGATTTGTCTTCATGTCTTGTTGTGAAAGGCCTAGCCTGGTACTTTGGAAGAGGTGTTTCATGGAGTCTCCCATTGTTTGACCTGATGGGGTTAGTCTACCACCATGACCCTATTGGACTATGCTGGAAATGCAGAGTTGCAAGCCAGAGGCTCCCTGACCTCCAGGCTCATGATCTATTGGTCATCATCATTGTAATTAGAAGATACTGCTGTTGCTGATTATGTGTGTTGGTGAAGAAGTAGTTGGGTTTGGATGCGGTATGTCTAGAGCTGCATACCAATATAGTAGCCACTAGCCACATGTAGCTATTTAAATTTAAATTTGAATCATTTAAAATTAAATGAATTTTAAAATTCAGTTCATCAGTCACACTAGCCAGTTTTCAACAGCCCAATAGCCACATGGGGCTAGTGGCTGCCATATTGGAGAGCACGGTTATGGGATATTTTCATCATTGCAGGAAATTACACTGGACAGCGCCAGTCTACAGTTATTTGCTTTCCCAAGCTTTCCACGCACACAAGCTCCTTTTTTTTTTTTTTTTTTTTTTTTTTTTTTTACTAAGTGGAATTTTCCAAGTATTGAGAATATGTCAGCTCCATAATAAGAGGAAACATGATTTAATCTCTTACTGTCTGTTGGAAATAATAAAATATATGCATCTATTTTTTAAAAGAGGAAAAATGAGTATTGCTAGACCAATGTTTCCCAATTTGTAATGTGGACATAAATCACCTAGGGTTCTTGTTGAACTGTAGGTTCTGATTTAGCAGGTGCAGGTGGGGCCTATGGTTCTTCTTCTGGTTCACAGACCACACCTTGAATAGGGAAGAGTTGTAGCATGTGACTTGTGAGTTAGGACCTTATCACTGTTTAAAGGGCCAAGGACATAAATACAGCAAGTGAACTTTAAATGGAAAGACAGAAGCTGAAGGAAATACTCTTATCGCCCAACACCAGAAGAATTAGACCAATGCCCATTCTTTAGTCTGAATGTGAGACAGCATAGCAAAGATGAGCTATGCAGCATGGCAGAATTAAGAACTGGGGCCGGGTGCAGTGGCTCACACCTGTAATCCCAGCACTTTGGGAGGCTGAGGCGGGTGGATCACGAGGTCAGGAGATTGAGACCATCCTGGCTAACATGGTGAAACCCTGTCTCTACTAAAAATACAAAAAAATTAGCCAGACGTGGTGGTACGCACCTGTAGTCCCCGCTATTCGGGAGGCTGAGGCAGGAGCATTGCTTGAACCCGGCGGGCAGAGGTTGCAGTGAGCCACAATCACGCCACTGCACTCCAGCCTGGGCGGCAAAGTGAGACTCCATCTCAAGAAAAAAAAAAAAAAAAGACCTGGTGCCCTCTGGAGCCTTGCTGTCTAGATTTGATTCTTGACTTCATTACTTCCTAGCTGTGTATTCTTAGGCAAACTACCATGAGACCTCACCTTCCCTATCTGGAAAATGGGAATCATACTAGTACATTTTTCACAGAGCAGTTGTGAGGACTCAGTGGGTTAACAGATGTAAAATGCTTGAGACGGTGTCTAGCACACGGTAAGCACTGTGCATGGTTGTTAAATCAATAAGTGCATGTAACATTCTGCTTCTAACAAGAGAATATGCTTTACTCTGGATGTGTCAATACATTTCTGACCAGTTGTACATCACTTGGCTTGAAACAGGACCATAATTTCTCCCCTGAGGATTGAGGAAGGGGTGGGAGGTGGAGGATAGTGTGTTTTGATGAAAGATTGGGTCCATGAAGCATCCTGGGTTATAGTACTAGTGAAAAAATTAGAGTCAAAAGTTGAGTCCATAATTGATAGGAATGGTCCAGGGAGTTTAATCAATGGCATGGTAGACAGCAGCCATTTGAAGGGCATGCCGGCAACCATCACTTAACATGCCTCCTTAAAGAAACTGTTCATCATTGGTTACTGTTGGTGTACCAAAGTCTGCATTTGGAATTTGTGCAGCTTTTGTAGAATCTGCCCCTTAAATATGAGATGTTTCCCTTTGGTGAGTGACTGCAAAACAGACTTGAGTCACTGAAGAGAATATGACACGAGCTTTTCTCTGGTATTGATCTTCTTTAAACCTTCTTCCTTCACCCCAAAGCAAAGAGCCCAGCCAACAGCGAGTAAAAAGATGGGGCTTCTCTTTCGATGAGATATTGAAGGACCAGGTGGGGCGGGACCAGTTTCTACGATTCCTGGAGTCCGAATTCAGTTCAGAAAACCTCAGGTAAATCTCTCAAAGTTTGAGCTGTGTGCGGAATGTGTGTGAAGAAATTTGCATAATCGGTCTCTCCATCTCTCTCTCTCTCAATGAAACGTTATCAGGGTTCAAATTCAAATGCCAGCTAATCTGGCTGAGGTTGAAATGGAGAAGAACAAATTAAAATATGTAACTCTGTCACCACCATAATAGCACCTACTAACACCAGCATGTTTCAGTTCAAGTCTATATGACCTTTGTGCGACTAATTGGAAATAAGTCTTCAATAATAATTAGTCAAACGGATTTGACAACATCATTCATTAAGTACAGCCATAGAACCAGGGAGCTTCAGAGTGGAGAGGCATCTCAGAGGCTGTCTCCTCAAAACTTCCCAGTCTGGGGTCCTGAATATCTGAGAAGCTAAACGGAAGAGGGAGAAGTCAGTGGGCTCATTTCAGAATTTCAAAGAGCAAAGTAAATATCACTCAGTAACTGGTGATGTAACTGTAGCAGCTACGTAACAGTAGCAGCTAATAAAAACATGCTTTTTTCTTTTAGAATGACTTCTGTCGACTCCAAATAGTGGTTACTCTGATCATCTGACGCCAGTGAGAACACCTGATTGTTCCTATTGGTCTATAACTAATACTTGATGAGGGAAATGTATTAATAATTACTATTTAATAGGAGAAAAAAATAAGATATTCAAAACCTCAGGTCCAATATGAGAGGAAGAAAAGGGGGTGAATTGAAAGGAAAAGTCTCCTTGGTTATGAAAAATTTGGGAACTTGTTTATTTAGACTTTTATGGTATTAGATGAAGAATCAGAAATCTGCAGAAAATGTGACTTATCTGAGACTTATCTAGTGATCTTAGCAAACTGGTGACTTTTTAATGGGTAAGATGGAATCTCTCTCTTTCTTTTTTCTTTGTACCAGATTTTGGTTTATATAGTAGAGTAACACCCATCTTCCAGTGCTGTTTTCTTTAAAGATGTCTTAATAATGTTTCAATATTGTATTACTTTAAAAACTCAGAGCATGTGCTGCGGGCAAAGGACTGCCCCTCCAAAGTTAATGTGCAACATCCATGCACTTATTTGAAGTTGAGACCATCGGTCCCATACGTCAATCAAGTGATATTTATGCTACACCTGTGCTGTATCAAGCCCTGTGAGAGTCTGCTGAGAGATGCAAGTCAAGATGTGTGATCTTTGCCTGTAACGACCTTGTAGGTCCTTGAGGAAAAAACACAAGAAATGATTAAATCATTGAATGTCTATAAATGAGTGTAAACTCTAAGAACCATTTCGAAAGCATTTAAAGGAGAAGAATCAAAGCTGAAGTAGTTAAATCATAAGCTGGACTTTGAAGAATACACAGGATAATAGTAGACGAAGAAGCAGGAGAGAGAATATTCCAAGCTGGAGGACCAAATGAGGAAAGAGGTGGCCGTGGGACTCTCCCACTCCATAAGGTCCTGAGAGGACACGTAGATGCCGACTAGCTGTATGGAGCGTGCTGTTCTAGGCATCCACGTGTCTGTTATAAACCAGACAAGGTTGAGTATCTTATTTTGGGTTATTATACAAGAGCCTTTCCTTGTGCTGAAGCATGATTCCAAACACATCTCAGAGCTTCATTTCAATGCCTAATGAAGCATTTGTAACAGAAGGCTTGACTTCTAATACTCTTCACTAGGGTGGTGCTCAGACTAGCCTCCCTGTATAGGAAGGAAGGCTCTCTGTGGCCAGCTTGATGGACCCAGGTGGCCTCTCTGTGTAGCCAGCTCAGTCCCAGTTTCCACCCCCTCCATGGTCCCTATGAGCCACCCCTGGGAGTCCTTCTCATCTTCCCTTCTTACCTGTTCCCCTTGGGTCTCCAAGATGGAGCGGTATAGAGGCCCCCTTTACCTAACTACCTCTAAGCCCGTAAGTAGCCTCAGGACCCTCTGCTGCCTGCACTCTTGCAGAGAGCTTGAAGAATGACCCAGAGTTTGGTCATTGTGAGGGTCCCAGGAGCATCCACTGGCTCAGCTGCCACCTTGCCTGGTCAGAGCATTCATTCTAGAAAGTCCCGAGTGTAGCCAGAACCACATATCAGTTCAGACTAGTTTCACAAATTATGCATCACACTTAAAGCCCAGAGTGCACCAAGGAGTGTGTCCCTGGCAGGTGTTCAGTGCTTCTTCCTGCCATCACCTCCTGCGCCTCTGCCAGCTCCTTTCCCCATGCCAGGAGGGCTACATTTAATCTTGGGTGAAAGCATGCATGTGAGCATGTGTTCATGTGCCAGAGCCTAAGCCACACCCCCAGAATGCAGAAATCCAGACTTCAGAGGGTCACCCCTGCTCCATGACAGGAAAGGAAATAGAATAGCAGGGAGGAAAAGGATAGCCAAGAGCCTCTAAAATCCTCTCTGGATGCCCAAATTCCATTTTTATGATATTCAGCATAACTGGATACATGGTGGGTGAGAGAGAAGCTCAGTCGTAAATCACATAACTGTAGGACTCTTCAGTCACCCATCACAGGGCAGCCTTTTCCCCGTTCCATTGCGTTCATCCCTTCAGCTGCAGATATCATCTTAGCACCAACCGTGGCACAGGGCTGGCGGATTTAGAGCTGACTGAGTAAATATCAGGGTGGCCAGGCATGGCTATACAGATGCACCTCCACTGTGGCTCATGCCATGGAGGCCCCTGGGAGTTGTGCAATATGGCACAACTTGAGGATCCTGCCAACCTGTCATGTTGGCCGTGCTGGAGTCGTCCCTTCTCCGCAGGATTGGTGAGGGGCCCAGGCCACTGGCATTGGAGCATGGCAGGAAAAAGCCTGACCAGAACTCACCTGGGTAAATTACAAAGTGCTTCTCCACTTCCTCTGTCCTCCTGTGCTCCCTCTCATCTCTCCAGTGAAAGGGCTGCTTAGATCATAACATTCTTGCACAACCCACGGGGTGCCAGTTAAGTAGCCAAGTGGCTGAATTTCTATCAGAGCTTCAGAATGCGGAATGGAGGAGCCCCAAAGTGTCACCCTGGATCCTTTAAGGAACAATTTCTATGATGATGTAATAGAAGTTGACATCCCCTTTGATCAGTGTCTTCTGGGTGGGTCTGTGAGATGAGGGTGGGGGCATCATCTCTGTGGACTGGGTGGGGTATGACCAGCAGCGCATTTTGCTGAAGCTGTGAGCTCTCTGTGGCAGGGTCTACCTCTTTTTCTCCTTTTCTGACCCACCTGAGCTGGGTGCAGGCTCCCTTTGCACCGAGTGGACCCACAGACAGCTGTTTGTTGAGTGCCTTGGGAATGCTCATGGCTTCTGTCCACAAGGCAGGGGCCTCACAGCTCTGATGCAGGGAGCTCCGCTCAGTTTCTTGGCCTCATCCTTCTTCCTGCTTTGTGCATTTTCCCAGAATAATGACAGTCACTCCTTCCCATCTTTGCTCCCTCTCCCACATCTCCCCTACACAAATCTTTGTCCTCCCTGGCTTGACACCCTCTGCTGCACAGCAGAGAATGAGTTAAAAATCAAAACCCACAGCAAAGAGTGTCCCCCGTACATTTTTTGTGAGCTGTAACATCTCCTGAGAGAAGGTAGTTGTTCTTCTAACCTGCAGATTGATGATCCGAGTTCCACACAGTGTCGGCTGAAGGGAGAAGCAATTAAAAGAGAACACAGTGGGGCACCAGGTTCATCTCGAGAGCTCTTGTCTCTGGCAGTTGCCCTGAGTCCAAGGAAGACCTCAGAAGGTTCACTAGGCCCAGCAGGATCCACCACTTACCAAACCCATGATTAATAGGAACAGAGGTGACTCCCACGACACCACAACCATCTGCAGTGTTTCAGTCACTGCCCAGTGAACAGAACTCAGCTTCAGTGGTGCTGGGGGTGGTTACTAACGTAGGCACCCCGGAATTTTAGCCCCACCGGGAACTAAACCAAGTTTAAGCTCTGCTGCCTACGTCTCTGGTTGACCAGCAGAGGGCATAGAAACACTTTCTTCTCTCCTGGAGTTTGCTTTTTCTCTGGGAGCGAACCAAAAGCTGTATTTTCTAACCCATGAAAATTCTAGTTTATGAAAAGATATGTAAACTGGTGACTGAGGGCCTGCCCAGACCTCCTGGTAGGATGGAGAATGATCAAGGGCCAAATGGTTTGTCTTACCCAGCCAGCCTTGAGAAAATCCTCTTCCTTGAAAGCCTCTAGGGAGAAAGGAGGCTCCCACTGGGGCAGCCCCTGGATGGTCCTCCAGCCCTGTTCTCCACTGCTTCGCCCCAGTGGTATCTGAGCCCAGGCTGCCTCGCTCCAAAAGCTAGTTTCCCCGCCAGCATTTCTAAGTCATGAACACGGATCAAATGCCCGCACAGGGGCTGCCTCCCTACTGCAGCTATGACAATTGGCAGAGACCAGGGGCAGGTCAGGACAGGTGGTCTCCCAGATATTAGTCCTTGTGGCCTGCCAGTCACAACGGCCCTTCTGCTGCAAGCCATGGAGGCTCAGTGCAGGATGGATGGATTTGATGCAGCTGCTGGCATTTCACTCCCTGCCGCTGCCCTTGGGGAGGAGCGGTACCTGCAGGTTTTTTATAAGAGCAGAAGCTTCCAAAGCTTCAAGGGGCTTCCCATGGGCAGCAGATGTGCAGAGAGGAGCTGCTGTGGCTCTCTGCAGCGGGGAATGTGGCCTGGGCTCTGAGTTCCCAGCTCAGGCCTGTGGGGCTCGAAGATGGCCAACACTAACCAAAGCCTGTTCTGAATTTCAAATTGACACAAAGGTTCCTCAAAACCAGTGATGGTAAACACATACGGGATGTCAGGATGCTGCTGTGACAGCAGTTTTGCTGTTGCCTGAGAGAGACAAGGCAGGTCAACTCCAAGGCAGACAGAAGGCCAGGGAGAGTCCCCAGTGTGTGCAGGGAGAGAAAACTGCTGTCTAGGGAATGTTACCCCATACCTTCCCCCTCTCCCTTCTTGCCCTTTCCCCCTCCTTCCCTCCCTTTCTCTCCCCTCCCCTTCCTCTTCCTCCAGCATGCCTGTTGTTTTCACTTGTACTTAAAAAAATTCTTGGTTTTATGTGACAAAGAAAACCTTTTTATTTTTACATAAAAGTTTATTAAATTTGATTCCGCGGCCTGGTGCAATGGCTCACGCCTGTCATCCCAGCACTTTGGGAGGCCAAGGCGGGCGGATCACTTGAGGCCAGGAGTTCAAGACCAGCCTGGCCAACATGGTGAAACCCCATCTCTGCTAAAAATGCAAAAATTAGCTGAGCATGGTGACATGCCCCTGTAATTCCAGCTACTCAGGAGGCTGAGGCAGGAGAATAGCTTGAACCTGAGAGGCGGAGGTTGCAGTGAGCCGAGATGTAGCCACTGCACTCCAGTTTGGGTGACAGATCATGACCCTGTCTCAAAAAAATTGATTATGAAATTTGTATTTCCATCAGCTCCGGTCATCTCTATATCCAGCTGAGTGATGTACATTTTCATGTGGCACCCAAATCATCCTGCAAAAAGGACCCTGAGCCCTCAGGAACCGCAGGGAGCCTGCAGAGCTCCCAGGGTCCTCAGGGCCTTCCCACAGGGGCTCAGCAGCTCCTCCTCAGTGCTGACAGAGGTGACAGAAAGTGACCTCCCATGTGGCATTGATTGAGGGGGCAGGAAATCACCCAGGTGTCATCCATTTGTGTGAGAAGTTGCAGGGGCCCAGGGGGCGTGGGAAGACGCTGACCCAGAAGGTTGCTTCCAGCCAGGGATTCAGCCCAGACGGCCTCCCTCTGTGAACCTGGTTCTCCTGTCTGCCTAGCATGGGGCTGAGGAAGCCTCACTGACTTCGTCTCTGGACATTTGACCCCTTCTGGGCCTTGGAAAAGCCAACACTGGCTTCTTCCTATAGAGCCAGGTTCCCCGCATCTTTCACCTACTGGTCAGACATGGCCTTCCAGGCAGAGAAAGCCTTGTAGGTACTCTCACCAGCAGATGGCCATTTTCACTTGGCAAGCCTCCCGGCCACTTCCTTCTTTTCACAGCAGACCTGAGAGAGTGGACAGAGAGCCCTACAGAACCTAGGGCAGGCCTGGGAGATGGAGGAGACCCATGCCCCAGCTCAAGAGTCAAGGGCCCACCTGAACAATGAGGTAGGGGAACAGCTCCTTTCAAGCCCTTCCTTCCCCACCCTCTCTGGACTCTGGATAAAGAAACACGACTGCTTTCCTCTCACCCAGAAGCCAGAAGGACCTGAGCACCCAGGACTTGTGGCTGTCAGAGAGCTGTGGAAGGGCAGGGGACACCAGATGGCAGCAGCAAGAGCTGGGCGGCAGCATCTGCCCAGGCCACCTGCGGAGAGAAGGCTGGAATCCGAGGGATCACACTGGGCCAGCATTGAGCCTGTGGCCACCACACTGACCCCTCCTCAGCTCCCCCTCACAGGACCTGAAAGCATTTCTGAGTTAAGTCTGCATAGGAAGTTTTCCAGAGCCATGCCACATATCCCTCCATCCACTCAGTGCCCATTTTACAGATGAAGAGAGAGGCACCCAGAAAGGTACACCAAGGCAAGATATGGCGTAGACAGGATGAGGGCAGAGCCAGCTTCCTGATCTGATGGAAGTCATGAAGCCTTCTCTGCCTTACGCTTGGCTCTGCAGGGTCGCTGAGAGGTTCCTTTAAGGAGATCATCAGAATCCTAAATGGCAAAAAATGGCAAATCAGGGGAAGAGTTGGAGCCCAGCATTTGGGGACACACACACACACACACAGTCGTCTTGCCTTGCAGAAATTGGGTTGCATTACTCCAGTCTGCCACTGAGTGGCACCTTTGGGCCATGCACTTGGCTCCAAAGACATTTCTCTGAACAGCAACAGAAAAACATGTTTAACCCTAAAAAAAAAAAAAAAAGAAACAAGTACATCTTACTTTGGATGAAATTTGATGACAGATTGAATGCACTGTCTGCACTTTCCACCACGTCATGTTTCAGCTTCGCTTGTCCCTCCCTTTCTGTTGACTAGACTACCTGTGATTCCCGCTGCTCTCGGAACCAGCACAGGACCTACTCTCTTACTCACTGATGGGGGAGCTGGCCTGTCCATGCACAGGGCAAAGGATATGACACCCAGACCTGGATCCTGCTGCAAGGCTGCCTTGGGAACCATCCTTAAGACCCGGTAGCTGTTGTCCAAGCTTTGGCTCTGGCTGCTGCTGCTCTCAGCAGAAAAGAGCTCACTGCTCCCATGCGGATGCTGAGGGATTAAACAGAGGCAAATACGGAAGTGAGCAGATTTTTCTCTCTTGCTCTCAGCAGAAGGAGAACCATTCTGCAGAGAAGTTTTCAACATATGCCTCTTCAGCATTGCTCCAGATGCGTCCGTCTTCACTCTGAAACCCATATATTGAGCACCTACTATTTGCCAAGCACCGTGCTGAGCACTGATGTGAATTGGCTCAGTTTCTCCATCTATAATAGGAATGGCTGGTTCATTCTTACACAGATAGTCTTTATGATTCCAGGACACTGCCTGCTTCTGGGATCTCTCCTCCATTTTGATGCCATCACTTGATCCCAACTAGATTTGACAAAGGGTCTCACACTGTCTGCATGGTGGCATGTATGTAGCACTGGGGTTCTCAACCAGGAATGAGTTCATCTCCCAGGGGACATTGGGCAATGTTTGGAAACATTTTTAGTTGTCATAACTTGGGAAGGGGGGTTGCTATTGGCATCTAGTGGGTAGAGGCCAAGGTTGCTGCTAAACATCCTACATTTCACAGAATAGCCTCAACAACAAAGAATTATCCAGCCTGAAGTGGCAATAGTGCTGAGGTTGAGAAACCTTCATGTAGAAGGAGAGAAATCCCGTTCTGATAACGAGAAGCACATTGATCTTTTAATATGCAATTCTTTTCTGTTCTGCACCATAGGAACACCTTTGATGTTTTCACAATCTCCATGGTCTTTGCAGCTCATGTAGTGGCATCAGGGCAGGCTGAGAGATGCAGCAGAATGGGTTTCATGGGACATCAGCTCTGGGGCCATCTCAGGCAACATCCCGATGCTGAGCCCCCTGGAACTGACTGTGTTTCTGCTCCCACTTCAGGTTCTGGCTGGCTGTCCAAGATCTTAAGAAACAACCCCTACAGGATGTGGCCAAGAGGGTAGAAGAAATCTGGCAAGAGTTTCTGGCTCCAGGGGCTCCAAGTGCAATCAACCTGGATTCTCACAGCTATGAGATAACCAGTCAAAATGTCAAAGATGGAGGGAGATATACATTTGAAGACGCCCAGGTTTGCTTATCTACTCAAGTGGTTGTCATAAGGTGTTCATTTGTCCCCTTCATTGCCTGACCTATTAACACAAGTTCAAGGCATTGTGGGTAGTTAAAATTTCAGATTTGGTTATTTTTAAGTTCATCAGTGGAAACCATTTCAGATAGGCGCACAGCAAAATCCCAGGATCGTTTTCCTAGATGGGTTATGTATTACATAGAAACCAAAATGTGCAGTTATATGCTTTATTTGTTCCAGGAAAGCCTCAAAGTGTTTTACAAAATCTGAAGGCTTGTAATAAGTCAGTGATAGAATCTGGAAACCAGAACACAGCATTGGGGAAGTGGGTGTAGTGAGTTAGCAGGGCCATGAGTCAAACCCACATCTGTCTACCTCTGAAGCCCACACTGATAACCACCTCTCTACACTGCTTCCGCAGTGATCTCCAGCTCTGCAGTGAATATTTTTTAAGCACATCTATATTCCAGGCTCTGCGCTATGTGATAAGATACCACAAAGAACAGGCAAAACCCCTGTTCTCACCGAGGTTGAGTGGGAGACAGACAAGTAAATGGGCAACTTCAACAGTGTGAAAAGTGCCCCAAATGGGTGAACCCTAGGTTAAAGCAAGCCTGCAGGAGGGACTCCCAACCCTGTAGGACACAATTAAGATGCTCACAGATGCTAGTGATGCTGGCTAAAGAAACAGGAACCACCCTAACCAGCAGACTAAATTTTGACGGCTGGGAGGTGCCATTTCTAAAAATAAGCATTGGGTTGGTTTCTTACTTCCTGGCCCCTAATTTCTATTTCCTGTCACCATCCCACACCCAGTGACAGGGCTTAAGATTTTGCTTATCTCCTTGACCCCACTTACTTCTCTCACCTCTGGGGCCCCCAGTAGAGAATTTGGGTGGTTTGCCCCTTGCAGACATTATTATCTGATTTAGGAAACTCAGTGTAGCTGCACCAATGCAAATAATGGCATGAGAACAGTGTCCCTTATCATCCAGAATTACCTTGTCATTTGCTCAGAACTTCAAGATGGAAACACCTACCAACCTCAACACCATAACTATCTACTTCTCTCCCCCTGGTCACGAGCTCCATCAAATGCCTGTGCCAATCACGAAATCATGACTCCTTCATATACCCCTTGCAGCTTCAAAGCAGAATGTTTGAGTCATGAGAGCTCTTTGCTGAGATATTTTTGCTTATGTGTATGTACGTATGCTTTCAAGCACCATATTGACATGGCCAGAGAGGAGAGTGACAGGGGAGTTCCGTGGGGGTTCCCTGCATGAACAAGCTGAAGCTCAAACTCCAATATTTATGAAACACAAGAAGAGGGATACTGGTCAAAACCTTGATGCATCTAGCACAGTATTAACACTCCAAGCATGACATCAGGAGGGATTTATTTTAATTTTTTATTATGAAAACTTTTAACACTTGGAAAAGTGGAAACAGCAAAACAGCAAACATTTATAGACCCTCATCCAGCCTCAAAAATCATCAGTACACGTCTGATCTTGCTTTATCTCTAGCCCCATCTACTTTTTCACCTGCCACCAGGTTACTTTACAACAAATCCAAGATGTTGCATCATTTCATCTGTAAACTTAGATATGTATCTCTAAAAAAAAGATCCTTTTGTTTTAATATTGCCACAATATCCTTTATCTCCCTCCCTTCCTCACATCCCCTTGCAATTTATTTGATGAAGGATTTAGATCCTTTGTCCTGTAAAGAGTTCCAAGCTCTGGATTTTTCTGATTGCAGCCCTGTGGTGCTATTTAGCATGTTCTTCTATCATCTCTCTTTCCTATAAATTCGTTTTATAAGATATTTAATCAGATTTAGGTTTGATTTTTATGGACAAAACCACTTCATGGATTGTGTGGTGCTCTCCTATCAGAAGGCACATGTCTAGCCACCTCTCTTTTTGACCTTTTTGCAGATATTGATGTCTATCGCTTATATCCATTAGTTAATTAGAGGTTACAAAACAACAACGTACTAATTTTATTCTTTCTTCACTTATTAGCTGGAATACTTTCATAAAGAGAAACTTCCCTCCACCACTATGGTATTAACTAGCAGTACAATTCACATAAGAAAAGCAGGATAAATATTTGATTCTCTCCCTTCATTTGCCAGTTTTCAAAATGAGTGGTTTGCTATTATCTTCCTATGGTAAACATTAGGGTCTATTTTGGTTTTACTATCTTTGTAAACTCATGAGTTTAAACATATATGCTATGTTTTAATCCATTTTGCTGATTACTTTTATTGATGCTTGGATTGGGCCATCTCTGGCCAGTTGGCTCTTTCTGACACAGCCCTAAGAGTGATCTTTGACATCATCCAAATAGCAGGGAAGCTAAGATATTCCAGTCTTTGCCCTTACCCAGAATAAGCTGTTTCTCCAAGGATCCCTGATTCCTCTTAGTGAGAAATGGTATTTAGAGACTAAAATCTAGGCACTTAGAGTGTTTCATTGTTCCTGGATTGTTTATCATTTCCAGCCCTTTTCAGTCGACAGAGCTAGGAAATGTGTTGCTGTTTATAATAAAAATACATCCTGAGTTCATACTGATACTTTTAATTCAAATTCTGACCTACAGGGGATTTTATTTAACCGCTTGTTTCTTACACCTGTGCCTCTTTTCTCTATGCTGACAATCCTGACTTTCAAGGGCACTGGATGATAGCATAATTACTCATTTGCTTTATACTACACAGAGCAGTCTCTAAACCACAATGCTAAAAATACAGCAACAGTATGATTATCGCCTGGTTCTTTAATTGTTGCATAGTATTCCGTTGTGTGGAGGCACCATAGTTTAGTCAACCAGTCCTCTCTTCTTGGACATTTATGTTGTCTCTACTTCAAGAAAGTTTTGATGGAAGAAGTGGGGAAGTCAGCCTAACGAAGGTTACATATTGACAAGTATCTCAATATCCAACCTACAGTGCTCTACCATTTTCCAAGTACTTCTAAATACATTCTATCTAATTTCTACAGCAATCTAGACTAGACATGAGGATGTCTTAAGCATCCCCATCTTCTTCATTATCTGCTAGGATTAGTCTCCCATGAATTCAAATAAAACACTCTTCCTAAGCCAATCCCTATTTTCAGACCAATTTCCTATTGCTTCTGAAGTGTATTTCCACCATAAATATACAAAGTGTTCCTTTCTAGCAGAGTGACCTTGGACAAGTTGCTTAAATTCCCTGAGTCTTCCTTTCCTCATCTGTAGAACAGGGATACAATGGAGCCTACACATAGGGGTGGAATGGGGACCAGGTGAAAGGAAGCATGTCAACCACTAACGATGTCTGGCCCACAATAAGACAGAGTAAATACTACCATCTTATTTTTCTAATGTCACTAATATTCTCTTTTTAAGCCGTAGTGTTTAATGTATTTGGTAAAAATTTTTAAATAATTTCACATAACCTTAGCACCCAGAGATAACCCCTATTTTGGTGTATTTTCTTCCTTGATTTATGTGTGTAGCTACGTGTAAGGTCTGCTCAGGCTGCTACCACAAAATAGCACACACTGGGTGGCTTAAACTACAGAAATTTATCACAGTTCTCGAGACTGACAAATCCAAAATTAAGGTGTCAGCAGATTTGGTTGCTGGTGAGGGCTCACTTCCTGGCTTGCAGGTGGCCGCCTTCTTGCTGTGTCCTTATAACTCTGGTCTCTCTTCCTCTTCTTATAAGAACACTAATCCCGTCATAAGGGCCTCTCTCATGACCTCATTTGAACCTAATTACCTCTCAAAAGACCCACCTCCAAGTACCACCACACTGAGGATCAGGGCTTCAACAATATGAAATTTAGGGAGACACAACATTCATTCCACAACAGGGCGATTTTGCAAATAGCGTGATCCTGTAACCTGCCTTTTACCTAAAACAGGGGTCAGTTAAAAAACTATACTTTTCCTAAAAAGAGCCAGATAGTAGACATTGCAGGCTTTGTGAGTCATGTGGTCTATGTCACAACTATTCGATTCTGCATACAAAAGCAGCTACAATGCAACAACATAGCAATGTAAACAACATAAATGAGGACCTATGGCTGTGTTTATTTATGAACAGTGAAATCCAATTTCATATAATTTTTCACAAAATACAATTCTTCTTTTAGTTTTTTTCAGCCACTTAAAAACATAAAAACTGTTCTTCGCTCATGGGATGTAAAGATCTAGATCACAGGTCTGTATCTGTAGATTTGAATCACAGACTGTAGTTTGTGACCCTGTGCTAAATAAAATCTAGCACATGGTCATGAAAATTATTGAAATGCTTCAAGAAATCCAGAAAGCTACAGGATAGAGGATTGGGCATAAAGGATCTTCAGTTTTTGGGGGAGAGTAAGTTAGAGGAGACTTGGTTTTGACGCAGCCATGGCAACACAGCAATCTGAATTGTGAATGTTTCTACATGAGGATTGAGTGTTGCGGAGCAGAGGTCAGCAGGTGCCAAGAGACTCACACTGCCTTACCTTCCTGGACAGCACTGGCTGCCTGCCCCAGCAAAGTAGGTGCAGTTCAGAAGTTCCCAGGTATAAAAAGGAGGTTAAAATCCTCAGCAGCCCATGACCAGCCAGGACTTGCACTCAGATGTCCTCGCTTGCTGGCCAAGATTCTGCTCAGACCACACTGTCCCTGGATTGTTAGTGCTGAGGGCTTGGTGGTCGCACTGAGACCTGGAGAAGTTCTAGTCCCTAGAGAAAGGCCAAGAGTCTGGGAGTTCCTTCTAGAATTATCCATTTAAGTTCTTTAAACTTTCTCTTCTCGGTTTGCCTCTCTGTTAAATGGGGATGTTAACACCTCAGCCCATGGGGCTCAGGGGCTCTGGGTGGCTTCCTCAGCTGGTCATGATGGTTCTCATAAACCCCCTGCAGTGGTCATATGCTTTAATATTAGTGCTCAGTAGCCTGAGAGAAAGTACAGCCAGATTTATGGATTCACTGGAAGCAGGGACTGGGGGTGGGGTGCAGCCTCTCTCCAATGGGTTTTGTTTCTTATTTGACCACACGCATTGTTAGAGCCAAGTTAATTGCCTGTATTTGCTTCCTGTGGAAATATTTCACAAGACACCCTGTTATCGTGGGCCCAGCATTTGTACTTGTGTTTTGCTGATCCGTTTAGCTTTTTTGAAAATTTTGGGCCAAGACCAAATCTTCCATAAAGGTCTGTGGGCTGTGACCATAGTCCTCAGCTGTTTGCTGTGTTGTTCCAATTTCATAGATTTAGCCTTGTGAGGGGAGAAAAATATATAGGCCATGATTATTTTTTTTTAAGGACTCAGTTCTTTATGCTATGGATTTAATTCTCTGTTCCCAACCATGTGGCCTTAAAGGACCTGCATTGTCACCTGCTTGCTATGTGGTCTGAGGCAAGGGCCTTGACCTTTTGTGCCTTAGTTTCCTCATCTGGGTGATGGGGGTGATGTCTTCTTTACAGCCCGCTAAGGATTTCAGAGAAATCAGATGAGCTAATAGCCCTGAAAAATCTTTGAAAAAGTAAAAAGTGCTATATATTTGTAAGTGTGAACTCACAAAAATTAATGACTTTAGTACTCTCTGGGGTTTCGTAATTCTAAGCTGGATCCAAAAGAAATTCTCTCAAAATATCTGCCCTTAGATGGGAAAAAATGCCAGAAAAGGATGTAAGAACTGAATTTTCAGGTCCTGGAATGCATCCTAAGGAATTTGAGCTTCTCATCCTGAAGACAGTAGCAAAGCATTGCAGGCTTTTACCTGGAAGATGGTGAATCCCATGGTGATGGGCATAGTAGGCTGGAGCCAAGAGAGAGTTCTGAACCCTGGGGCATGTCATATAAAGCTCTGCTGGCAGTTGTTGGTGGAGAGAATTAAACCACAGGAAGTATTGAGAACCTTCAGCTTCCTTGTAGGGCATTTGTCTCTTTCCAAAGCCTTCACAGGCTCTAGATGAGATAGAAATCAAATGCCAGCACAGTGGCTGCCTGGCTTCCATTTTAAATCTCAGAGTACCAAGGATGTTCCAAGGACTATCTCCCTGGATCCATTCAATCATTTGTCCATCTGCCCATACACCCATGTCATGAACATCCATTCTCCCATTCAAGTTGGGAAACCTTGACCCGTGCGGCATAATATTCTGTGCAGAGGGAAATAACATGAGAAATAGGAGGCCCAGATGGCTTTTTTTTTGCCATCAGGCAGAGCTTATCTAAAAGCACATCATTTTCAAACAAAACAAACCAGACCTAAGAAAGCACTTCATTGAGATAGGATTGGATTGGAAATCTGTCCTTTAAGTGGACTGATAGTGGAATAGGACAAGCCAGTCCAGCCCCATTGGCTTTGATCCTTGCAGTTTCCCACCTCACCTTCCTACTCGTCCCAGCCCCACTGCTTTCCTGACCTGTGGTACCTGCTAAGATGCCCCACCCTGCCCTGTACCTGGAGTGTCTGGGCCTTCCAGACCTCTGGATTTGAAAGTTATTTCATGGGAGCAGAAATTTGGTCTTCTTTACCTTTTATAAGTTCCTGCATCACAAAGGTAATGCTGAATGCTGAATGTCAGCTAAATGCTGATAATTCATTCCAGAATTATAACATTTTCAGCTGTGCCTATCAAAGAAGCGGGGGACAATTTGTCCCTTAGCTTTCAACTTTGGAGAGACAACCTTGGGGAGTACACCTAGTAGATAGTCAAGAAAAGCAGGTTAAATTAAATTCCTACAATGTGCCGATTCAGCAAAACTTGGAATACCCACTAAGTGTCAGATGTTCTAGGCGCTGTGAATATACAAATGCGTAGGGAGGTTCCTTTCCTTAAGCGGCCCTGGGTCTGACTTACCACAGCTCTGCTTGGCCTTGATGAACTCACAAAAGGATCAAAGAGCATGCTCAAGGCCAGAATGAGGTCTGCGTGATAAAAGAGCTGAGAAAGATACCGTCAAGTCCACATCCGCCATGAGCAGACAAGAAGCCTCTAGCAAAACGTTTATATTATTACCTAAGTGTAGATGTTTAAATGCAACTTGATTAAGGAATGCAAGGTTTCTACCATTTGCTTTGTTTAAAAGCCAAAGCCCAGTAGAGTATGATTTTAGGTTTGCCCAGATTATTCAGAAGTAGAAGTCTTCCCAGCTGTTCATCTTTGCTCCAGTGGTGGAGGTGGCGGCATTGCGTGCCAGTATCACAAGACCACACCAAGTTTCCTGGTATTAATCCTCTATTGGAAGGCATTTCCTGGTAGACTCTCATGCCAGACATATTTTAATAAGGAATTCTGTGACACTGCTTGCTCTGGGGGTTGCTCATTTTATCCTGTAGGTGGTTTTATTTTTGGGAGATGAACAGCAGAGGGAGGGATGCATTTTGCAGAGAATAAATCAGTCATTTGTGATCCAGTTCTGTTTATTACCACACAGACTAGTAGTTCCTGACAGCTACTGAGAGAAGACGTCAAAGAGTTCAATTCCAAAATTTCTTGGTTGCTACATCTAAGCATAGATTCCTTATACCAAACCCCATGACCTCCTTGAGGAGGAAATGAAAATACTTTTCTTCTTTTTTTTTTTTTTGAGAAGGAATCTTGCTCTGTCACCCAGGCTGGTGTGTGGTGGCACAATCTCGGCTCACTGCAAGCTCTGCCTCCTGGGTTCACGCCATTCTCTTGCCTCAGCCTCCTGAGTAGCTGGGACTACAGGTACCTGCCACCACGCCCAGCTAATTTTTTGTTTTTTTTTAGTAGAGTCGGGGTTTCACCATATTAGCCAGGATGGTCTCGATCTCCTGACCTCATGATCTGCCCGCCTTGGCCTCCCAGAGTGCTGGGATTACAGGCATGAGCCACTGCGCCTGGCCAGGAAAACACTTTTCTAAGTTAACATCCCTGGTATTTGGGTAGGTGAAAGACAATATGCAAAGCTGTCTTTGAAGCTACACTTTTCTAAGAGTAGGGATTGAACAGCATGAAAATACTGTGCCCTTTGGCCAGTTAAATTAAATCTGTTTTTATAGATGCTTTGCAGAGTAAAGGCAAAGGATCATTTACTCTCACATCCTCTTATGACCTGGAATGATGCCTTATGTGGAAACACAGGGCTCCCATGTCCTACTTAGGAGGCTAAGGAAATCCAAAGGGGGCACTTCCCATTTTAGATCCACATGATCCCAGGTTGTTCATCCAAAGATACATCCAGAAGGAGCAACAGCTTCCTATCTTTCACTTATGTGGATGTCCATATTGTTGCGGTATCTTTTCTGTTGCCTCTTCTATGTTTGTTAAGCAGATACTGATTTGTGATCCACTTCAAGTCCTCACCACTGTGCTGTCCTGCAAGAACCGTGCTGAAGAAAAGCTCATTTTCCCTAGGCTTCAGCTAACCATGCCTAAGGTCTGAGGACCTTTGGTCAAACATATTCAAGTCTCTTGAAAGGTGAGACTCAAGGATACAGACTTATGACTTCCTAAGGGCCCATCAGCCCTCAACGCTTTACCAGGTTGGGACCTTGTTTCCAAAGATGTTCATAGCTCCCTTCAAGTATAGATGGCAAGTTGTGCATGGACTGCCTGTTAAGTGAGAAACCAGAGCCTGGGCCATCCCTGGTGTCTTGGCCATTACCATTGCTAACAGCAGTGATAGTGAATAGTACCCAAAAGGGAATTGTAAGCAGTGGCCACACCTTCTACTAGGATGACTCAGATTTAGGACTCAAGAGGAGGCTCCTAACTTTCCTGCAACCACACATGGAGGGATTTTGTCTCAGCCAACCAGTACTGACTCCCCTTGGGACCCAAGTAAAGGACAATGAAAAGCAGCACTTCAATGTGAGAAGAGCGTGAGCTTTGGGGTCACAGAGCTCTGGGTTCAAATCCTGGTTCCATACTTACCTTGGGTAAGCCACTTGACCTGTTAGAGTTTCAGTATCCTCATTTGTAAAATGGGGGTGTTTAAACCTAAGCACTACTTCAGAGCAAACATCACCAACAACTGAAATAGTACAGCTAGACTCTGCTCCCAAATCCTCTTTGCTTCTTTCTCCAGAATCTCTCTCATCCCACAAATCATCCCTTGCAAGGACAGTCACAGCATGAAATTATTATTGCCACTTGACATGTATAATCATTTTTGTAGTGCTTCCACTTCTACTTCCACATTTAATTGTGTGATTGACAGGACTAGAAAGGTGAGCTTTTGGCTCCCAGTCCAGTTCCTTGTCCATCACCCCACACAGCAACACCACATTCTGTCCACACAGCCTCATTTTCCTTCAAGAGACTACATGGGACCCAAAAGCTCCCAAAGTCTGGATGTGATTCTAGGCAGCTTAGGTATGGAGGGCAGAGATGAGGCACACACACCTACAAAAAGAAAAATAGGATACTTGAAAATCACAAGAAGAGCTCTTGGCCGCTGTGCAATGCTCCAGCTGGGTGGTTCTCCACTCCAGGAGGACGTTCTGAAGCTGGGAAATGAGATCTGTGCTGTCTTAGGAGCCCACAGCACAGGGGAGGACATAAGGGTCTTCTTGAGGAGTTCAGCTGCATGCTTGTGGCCCAGGGCCCCAGTCATTTGTCTGATTAGCTTCCCCACCTCTTGAGAGAGTCACTGTGTTTTGTCTAAAAAGAAAGGAGATTTCCAAATGAGGACTCTCTGAGCAAAATATTGATTTTCAGCAGGTGTGGTTTTGAGACAGTTTGTACTGCATGCTCTCTCCAGCTCTCACTGTGCCTCGGACTCTATTGATTCTAGTTGGTTTTGATCCTGCCTTAGCATTCCAGGAAAGCAGAGCTCTCCTAGCCCAAGAAGAGAAAATGAAGGTGGAGTGGCTCATCGGGGTAACATCCCTCCACTACAGCCATCAACCACTCCAGGGATATGATGCCTCCCACTGCTGAGGACTCTGGCTAAGACACTGGTGTGATTTAGAGCCCTAGAGCATTGGTTTATCATCATATAGAGAACCACCCTCATCTTCTTTGGAGGAGGTGCCTCTCCACTGCATCCCAAGGTGGGAGTGACCTCTGGTAGTTCTGCTTGTTCATAGTCAGCTTAGTCATCTCTGTTGTAGAAAGAGAAAGAGAGAGAGGGCAAGAAAGGGAAAGACGGAGGGAGAGAGGAAGGAAGTGGGAAAGGAGGGAAGAAGATAAGGCAAGACAAAATAAGACAAAGCAAGAAAGAGAGAGAGCACGCGGGCCAGCACGCTTTTTCTCCATCCCCTTAGGAATTTACTCTCAGCAGGGGCTTGGCTTGGCTGGTTTTGCCAGTGACTCCCTTGCACTTTGCAGATTCTGAATATACATTTCCCTTAAGACTGGTTGTCTGCAGAATAGGGGAAACAAACCAGCACCCCCATAAATCAGCAGAGGTCACTGCCAAGAGCTTTGTACACTTGCTGTCCCTGGCAGTGATAAACTCATTGCATTTGGGAAATGGCCAAAGACCCTGAGTCCAATCTTAATTCTCATTCCCAGAAAAATCTCAGTTTTCTGTTCACCCACCCCCGTTTACTGTCTTTGTGTTTCCTAGACAAAGCTGGCAAGGAGGAAAGAACACAGTTCAATAACTGGATCATCAAAGGCTGCATTTCGTTGCTTGGGGGAGGAGTTGCAGGGCAGGAAAGAGTCACAGATCCCTAGGCTGTGGAAAAGAGAGGCCCAGGCCAGAGGGAGGCTGAAGCCATGGGGTCTGCATGGGGTGTGAGAGATCCGCAGAGGTTCTCAGATTCTGGTTTTCTCAGACCCGCACCTTGGATCTGCTATTACTGCTGTGGTCGGTTGTTCCCTTGAAGGGTGGTTCAGGCTGTTATAATGGTGGTCAAGGGCTAGCAGTGGGATTGGTGTGGTGAGACCACCTCATGGGACTCATGCTCCAGTAGGTTGTGTTCTTATTCTCTTATCTTTCTCCCCACACCATCCTCACCTTGGTATCTGGCTTTGGAGTTGGCCATATGACATGGAGAAGATGAGAGTGGTGTCCAAACTGCTCCTCTGACCCACATGGGCCTCCTGAGAGTGGACAACCTCTCTCTGCTGCCCTTTCCTCCTTGCCCCTTGATTGTCTTTCTCCTCTGATTGATCAGACTGTGAAGCTGCAAGACCAGACCCCCCCCTCCCTGCAATCCCACAGAATTAGGAGACATATTTCTGTCTCTCTACACAGATCTTTCCACTTTGATGAGGATCTTTCTGGTTGAGAGACCACCATTCCCCACTTGTAGCAGGATAGGTCATCCCCAGGTATACACATTCATACCCTGTGCCTGTACTTCATCTCTGCAGCCCTTAGCTGAATTGGCTAAATGCGTCTCTGTGCAAAGTCTATCTTGCCTAGTTGGATCTAAGCTTTATGACATTAGAGGCCGATTTGTCTTATTCAGGCTGTTATCTCAGCGTCTGACACAGTGCCCTGGCACCTAGTAAATGCTCAATAACTATTTGCTGAATATTATTTTGATTCAGTGTTTAGACATCTGCTTTATCCTGCTCTATTTTGATTGACAAGTTCTTTCTCTTCATGAACCAGGCTTTTCCCTCCTACAATGAGTCTATAAGAATTAGCTAGATCAGAGGGGAATTTGGTGCTGAGCCAGAAGAGCTGTCTAGGGGAGGTTTCCTCACTTCTTATGGGGCAGCAGAGGGGTATTGTGAGATATTGAGAAGTCAGAACAAGAAGCAGGGAACTGTTGCTTTGGAGAAGGGTCTGGAGAGGTTCCAGGCACTATGATAGGCTTTTCCAGATGACTCAGGAGCCACCTGGCTCTGTCAGCCAGAAAGAAGTGATGCCTGACACAAGGAGACAGTGTGTCATTTTTACTGTGGACTAACATTTGTACCTAAGCTTTAAATGTTAAAATAATTTGGCTGGGTGTGGTGGCTCATGGCTGTAATCCCAGCACTTTGGGAGGCCGAGGCGGGTGAATCACTTGAGGCCAGGGGTTTGAGACCAGCCTGGCCAACATGGTGAAACACCGTCTCTACTAAAAAATATATAAAAATTAGCCAGGCGTGGTGGTGCATGCTTGTAATCCCAGCTACTTGGGAGGCTGAGGCAGGAGGATTGCTTGAACCCGTGAGGTGGAGGTTGCAGTGAGCCAAGATCACACCACTGCACTCCAGCCTGGGCAACAGAGCGAAGACTCCATCTCAAAAAGAAAATGTTAGAACAATTTAAAGAGACAACAAATGAAACCAAAGACCAATGATACCCCTCAGCCTGGGCTCTGAGACCATTAGGGATGGCTGAGCCAAGATTTTCATGCTCCTCTGAGCTGAGTGTAATCCTCATTCTCCTTCTGTGCAGAGAGCAGGAACTTGATGCAGTCATAAACCCAAGCAAGTATGGAGCCAGTAAACTTGCTGAACATTAAATTCCAACCGGCATTTCAGTGAACATGTATATTCGACTAATATCTGAGCCTGTGCTAGACAGTATGCATCTGTAAAAATAAACACATACTGTTCCTCAAGGCACTTAAACAAGAGTGAGCTGGATTTTTGTCTGAAATTTTCAGAAAAACACTTAGTGAAGTGTGTTCACACTAAGTTTGTTAAATCAGAATACGTCTGGACTATCCAAGTAGTCTCAGAACCAGGCCACTATTGGAGGCTGGGCGCGGTGGCTCACGCCTGTAATCCCAGCACTTTGGGAGGCTGAAACAGGTGGATCACTTGAGGCCAGGAGTTCGAGACCAGCCTGGCCAACATGGGGAAACCCCGTATCCACTAAAAATAAAAAAATCAGCTGGGTGTGGTGGTGCATGCCTGTAGTCCCAGCTACTCATGAGGCTGAGGCACGAGAATCACTTGGAACCCGGGAGGCAGAAGTTGCAGTGAACTGAGGTCACACCACTGCACTGCAGCCTGAGTGACAGCAAGACTTTATCTCAAAAAAAAAAAAAAAAAAAAAAGAACCAAGTCAGTATTTAATTTCATTTGAGTCCTTCCAGTGGGTTTATTCCCATTAGTGGGGTAACTCCCCTGCTTTTGTAAATATGAGGGTATCTCAGGAAGAATAAGTCCCAAAACAAGATTCTTTGGGTTCCAACCAAAGATGAAACCAAGAGGGCCTCACATGTGACCAAGACATTTTCTGCTTTCTACTTTCACTTTCTTTTTGTTTATTTTTTAAATTGAGATGTAAAAGTTGTATGTATTTATGGTATATAGCATGCAATTTTGATATATGTATACATTGTGGAATGGATAAATCAAGCCATTTAACATATGCGTGGTCTCATACACTTATTGTTTGTAGTGAGAACACTTAAAATCTACTCTCAGCAATTTTCAAGTATATAATATATTGTTTTTAACTGCAGTCTGTAGTCACCGTAATGTTCAAGAGACCTCTTCAACTTATTCTTCCTCTCTAATTATGTGGTGTCCTTTGACCAATGTCTTCCCAGTCCTTCTCACTCCCCACAGCCCCTGGTAGAATGGCCATTCTGCTCTCTGCTTCTGTGAGTGTGATTGTCTTAGATTCCATATACAGGCACATCTCGTTTTATTGCACTTCCCTGTATTATGCCTTATAGATTCTGTGTTTTTTACAAATTGAAGGTTTGTGGCAACCCTGCATCAAACAAGTCTATCAGCACCATTTTTCCAATAGCATGTGCTTACTTTGTGTCTGTGTCACAGTTTGGTAATTCTTGCAACATTAAGCTTTTTTAGTATGATTATATGTTTATGGTGATCTGTGATTGGTGATCTTTGATGTTACTATTGTAATTGCTCTGGGGGTGCCCAACTGCACCCGTATAAGACAATGAACTTAATACATGTTGTGTGTGTGTGTTTTCTGACTCCTCTACCAAATCAGCCATTCCCCCATCTCTTTCCCTCTCCTTGGGCCTCTCTACTCCCTGAAATGACAACTATATTGAAATTGGGCCAATTAATAACTCTGCAGTGGTCTCTAAGTGTTCAGGCAAAAGGAACAGTCGCATGTCTCTAACTTTAAATCAAAAACTGGAAATGATTAAGCTTAGTGAGGAAGGCATGTTGAAAGCCAAGATAGGCTGAAAGCTAGGCCTCTTATGCCAAACAGCCTAGGTGTGAATACAAAGAAAAGTTTATTGAAGATTGAACATGCTACTCCAGTGAACACACAAAAGATAAGAAAGCAAAACAACCTTATTGCTGATATGGAGACAGTTTTAGTGGTCTGAATAGAAGATCAAATCAGACACAACATTCCCTTAAGCCAAAGCCTAATCCAGAGCAAGGACCTACCTTGCTTCAATTCTATGAAGGCTGAAAGAGGTGAGGAAGCTGCAGAAGAAAAGTTTGAAGCTAACAGAGGTTGGTTCATGTGGTTTACAAAAAGAAACCAAGTCCATAACATAAAAGGGCAAAGTGAAACAGCAAGTGCTGATATAGAAGCTGCAGCAAGTTATCCAGAAGATCTAGCTAAGATCATTGATGAAGGTGGCTACAGTAAACAACAGATTTGCAGTGTAGATTAAGCAGCCTTATATTGGAAGAAGATAAATCTAGGGTTTTCATAGCTAGAGAAGAGAAGTCCATGCCTGGCTTCAAAGCTTCAAAGGACAGGCTGACTCTCTTGCTAGGGCTAATGCAGCTGGTGACTATAAGTCGATGCCAATGCTCATTTACTATTCTGAAAATCCTAGGGCCTTCAAGAATGATGCTAAATATATTCTGCCTGTGTTCTATAAATGGACCAACAAAGTCTGGATGGCAGCACATCTGTTTGCGGCATGGTTTACTGAATACTTTAAGGCCACTGTTGAGACCTACTGTTGAGGAAAAAAATAATATTTCTTTCCAAATATTGCTGTTCATTGACAATGCACCAAGCCATCCAAGAGCTCTGATGGAGATGTACAAGGAGATTAATGTTGTTTTCATGACTGCTAACACAACATCCGTTCTGTAGCCTATGGATCAAGAAGTAATTTCAACTTTTCAAGTCCTATTATTTAAGAAATACATTTCATAAAGCTATAGCTGTCACAGACAGTGATTCCTCTGATGGATTTGGGCAAAGTAAATCAAAACCCTTCTAGAAAGGAGTCACCCTTCTGGTGGATGCCATTAAGAACATTTGTGTTTCGTGGAAAGAAGTAAAAATATCAACATTAATGGGAGTTTGGAAGAAGTTGATTCCAGCCCTCATGGATGACTTTGAGAAGTTCAAGATCCTAGTGAAGAAAGTAACTGCAGATGTGGTGGAAATAGCAAGAGAACTAGAATTAGAAATAGAGCTTGAAGATGTGACTGAATTGCTACAACTTCATAATAAAACTTTAATGAATGAGGAGTTGCTTCCTATGGAAGAGTAAAGAAAGTGGTTTCTTGAGATGGAATCTACTCCTAATGAAGATGTTGCAAACATTGTTGAGATGACACAAAGAATTTAGAATATTACATCAACTTAGTTGATAAAGCAGCAGCAGGATTTGACGGGATTGACTGCAATTTTGAAAGAAGTTCTACTGTAGGTAAAATGCTATCAAACACCATCACATGCTACAGAGAAATCTGTTGCGAAAGGAAGAGTCAATTGATGCGACAAACTTCATTGTCTTATTTTAAGAAATTGCCACAGTCACCTCGGCCTTCGGCAATCACCACCCTAATCAGTCAGTATCCAACAATGTCAAGACAAGACCCTCCCCCAGCAAAAGGATTATGACTCACCAAAGGCTCAGATGATCCTTAGCATTTTAACAATAAAGTATTTTTTAATTAAGGTATGTACCTTGTTTTTTCAGACATAATGTTATTGCACACATCATTGACTACATATAGTGTAAACATAACTTTTATGTGTACTGGGAAACGAAATATTTCTTATGACTTGCTTTATTGTGGTGGCCTGGAACCAAACCCACAATACCTCCAAGGTCTCCTTACATAAGTGAAGACAAGTGGTATTTTGTCTTTCTGTACCTGACTTATTTCACTTAACCTAATGTTCTCCAGGTTTGTTCATGTTATCACAAATGACAGGATTTCCTTCTTTGTTAAGACCAAATAGTATTCCATTATGCCTATATACTGCATTTCCTTTACCCATTTATCTATTCATTGATGGACTCATAGGTTGACTCCATATCTTGGCTACTGTGCTCTCCCTTTCTTTTGTGCTGGGTAAGGAGTGAGTCTTGGTGAATCCTTGTCATTGCTCTGTCTTTTTCTGGCCAGGCATCTCTAAAATGTGTCCCCCAGCTGATGGGAGGTCTGTGCCTCCTCCTTCGATCCCTTCCCTGGAAAGAGCACCAAGGAAGAGGTCCTTAATGACCAGTCCTGCCTCTCAGATGAGCACTCTCCTCCTCCCTGACCAGCTCTCCATCCCCCTCACCACTAGGGCCTTTGTCTGGCTTCATGAGAAGAACAATGAGCATACATGGGGGAAGATGCTTCCTCCACCAGGACAGCCATTAACTAACAAGCCCGCCCTCCCCAGTGAAGGCCAACCTCCCTCCTAACACATTCTCTCTTGGAACAGCCAAGCTTTCCTGTGCAGCTGAGCTGAATTCCACTTCAATGGATAAATAATCTTGCCCACTGACAAGTCCTCTTTTCTAAGGGACCAGGATTTTCCAACCCTTGATGAGGACAGATCTGTTTGGAAGGGACCACAAGATTCTAGGAATTAGCTGGAAATCAGGGGTGAAATTATTTGCCAAGGCCAGAATGTATAACAAATGCCCCTGGGAGCCGAGGAAAAGAGGCGGCACCTTGCTGCAGCACCTGCCCCTCCTGGGTGTTAGTTACATGTCCTGTGATGTGGTTGCCAAGAACTCCTTCCAGGACGAGGTGGTGGCCCTGAAATGCACAAACTGACCCAATTGCATTATTGCCTGTTTTTTTAAATTAAACTTTTTATTTTGAGATACGTATTGATTCTGATGCAGTTATAAGAAATACTGTGCTGTTTACCCAGTTTGCCCCAATGGCAACATCTTGCAAAACTATAGTACCATATCACAGCCATGATACTGACATGGCTACAATCCCCTGATTTTATTCATATTTCCCAGTTTTACTTGTGCCCCATGTATGTATGTGTGCATTTAGTTCTATACAACTTTATCACGTGTTAAGATGTGTCAAAATACAGAACCATTCTGTCACCACAAAGATCCTTCCTGTTGCCTTTTATAACCACACCTCCCTTGCTCCCTCTACTTCCTCATCTCTAACCCCAGGAACCACTAATCTGTTCTTTGTCTCTATAATTTGTCATTTCAAGAATGTTATGTAAATGAAATAATATAGTTTATAATCTGGAGCTTGGCTTTTTTACTCATCCTAATTCCCTTGAGATTCATCCAAGTTGTTGTTGGGTGTAAGAACAGTTTGTTCCTCCTCATTGCCATGTCTGGTTTTAATCATTAAGCACCCCAACATGGCACCCAAGCCCAATTACAAATCCCTCAGGACATGATCCTCAGGGAACTTTTATTCTAAGAGAGCCCATATGTTTTGTTTGGTGCTGCTGAGTTTGGGGGTGTGGGGATGGAACATGTTGCAAGTTTTTCTAGGTACATGCAAACATACCTAGGTTCCTTCATCTCCTTCCCCAAAACAGTGATCAATTGGATTGTAATATTCTTTAGCACTGGTTGACAGCCCTTCCTTGTGTCTCCTTGTCACCTTCCTCCCCAGGAGCACATCTACAAGCTGATGAAGAGTGACAGCTATGCCCGCTTCCTCCGGTCAAATGCTTACCAGGATTTGCTGCTGGCCAAGAAGAAGGTATCTTTGGGAAGGGCAGGCTTGCTCTTAGCACTGTTGACTCTTGCCTGCTGCTTGCTGCTGGTTTGAAATGAGAATATCATCCCTTGGGTTTTATTTATTTCCTACTTTCTTCTTTCCCTTCTCTATCTGCTCCCATTCTAATGGAAAACAGTTAGGATTGTCACCACCCCAGCCCCACTGCAAGGTCCAGGATGGGGCATCCTACCTCCACATCCCTACTGCCTCTCTCTGCATGTTCTGCCCATGGTGGGGGTGGGTACGTAGGGTGACAAAAGACTAAGGCCACAGTGGCTCAGCATAGGAGTGCAGGGCTGGCAGTAACACCAGCAAAACCCTTAGGACACTGGAGAGAGCCCCTCACTGCAAAGTCCAGCCCCTTCACCTCAGACTTCTCTCCCTGACCAGCCCAGAGAGGAGTATGAGGCCAGGGTTGGGGCAGCTCTCTCACTGGTCAGAAAGCCTTGTCAGTTTCAAGAGCACAATCAGGTACCTAAAGTCATCCTGGGGTTTCTCCCTCCTTGACACCCCCTTCCTCTCCCGCACCTGCCCCACGGTGTTGCCTTTCTCTCTTAACCAAGAAGTAACTGCACCCAGCTCCTTCCTCCTCCTCCTTAGAACTCAGCCATGGTTCCTTGCAGCCCATGGAGTCATGGATTTGAGGTGCAGGGGCCCTCAGCATGCAGGTGAGGGGTGACAGAAGCAGGAATAAATTCAGCTAGATTCCTGGGAAGAGAGGAGGAAGAGTAGGCAGGAGAATAGGGTCCAGGAAGGGAATGGAAGGCAAGAGAGAGGGCTCCTGGTTTCAGTACACCTGCCCACCCTCTGTGCTTTTCAGCTCTGATCTGAGGCCCATGTGTGGTTAAGTGTGGCTCAACTTGCACCAAACCCTATGACTTCTGTGCCATGGCACTTAGGGAGCACAGGCATCCCTTTCTCCTCCCTCCTGGACTCCCAGCCCCAGGCCCTAAGCACGTGGTTGCCCATCACATGCTCTCCGCTGGGCTGCCTCTCAGCCACGCAAGCCTTCTCTCTGTGTGCTGTCACCCTCATGTGCCAGGATCCTGTCTGCGTATCTGGTTGGGACCACACAACTCCAGAGTCCTGGAGAGCATTTATAACCTGCTCTCCTGCCCTTGTGTAGCCCTGGAAAGAGGCCATGGAGTCTGAGAAAGGAAAGAGGACTTCTGGGGTATCCCAGTTGTCAGCAGCTCTCTGGGTTTCCTGCATCCCTCCCCACAGGTGTGGCTACTGTGATGGGCAGTGTGGAGCCTGGCCTCCTGTCGATTCCCCTGCTGGAGGATGCCAATGGAGGGGCTCCTTTGGAGGAGGCCGACACCCTCATACATGGCTCTAATGCCCATTTTTTCTAAGAACTAGAGGAAAGAAAAATTATAGGAACTTTTGATAACTCCAGCCCAGATCTCATGGATGAAGGTCAAAGTAAGTTTTTCTTATTTTCTGTGGCTCAAGACCCCTGATCTGATCACAGTTTGGTGACTTTCTAAGGCTCTGGTAGTTTAACCAGTCTAGGCCTGTCTACACACCTAGAAGAAGAGAAGCTAGAGGCCATTGATTCTCCTTGTGGGTTTGAACACAAAGGAAAAATGCACCCCAAACCAGGCTGAGACCCCTGTGGCTGCAGATCCTCCCTTCCAAGAAGAAAACCTCTCAGAGGAGGTCACTTGAGTGAGGAAGGAACTGGCAACCTGCCTGGGAAAAGTTCCTTAGAGTTATCCTCCCAGCTCCCGAAGTAAGGGATGTTCTTGAGACAGAAAGCCCTTGCAGATACCAACAACGTCTCAATACTGAGGAGTTGTTTCCCAAAACAGTGACAAAACCTGCTTTCTCCTTCTGTTTCTTCCTGAGAGTCTCCAGGTATGGATCTGATTTGTAACTCGGCACTTTCAGGTAGGCCTAGAGTATTCTTCTGATTTCAGGGACGGGTTCACCGTATCCAGGTCATAAAAGGTATGTGAGATTCACAACCTCCGGCGGAGAGAGGGAATATGAATCAGCCTCACTTTTCTGCTGAGAACTGACCTGGACGGAGTCTTGAGGCACAGCCTTCTGATCCTTCATCCCTAATTCAGCCTCTTTTCTAATATTTTCCAAATAAATGATAGTCACACTGAAGAATCAGGTTCTCAGGGGGTAGGTGAGCTGAGTCCTGAGGGCTACTCTAGGAAACTTCAGTACCAGTGATGATGGTTTTCCAGGGCAGCTCAATGGCCAGTGCAAGGCAGAGGAGCCAAGTGAGCCAGACCAATGGCCACCCTCTGTGAGCCAGAGGATAAGAATAACAGGCCGACAATGCCAGCTGCAGGGCCCAGGACTGGCCTGACTTGAGCCAAGTGTATGCCACCCAGGCTGGCCACAGGGTTCAAGCTGAGTCCTGCCATCCCCAGAATAGAGACTTGGTATGGTACCCGGGGCCAAGCATGAGTCCTTCAGTTCCTAGTACAAGAAGAAAGGCCAGCCCAACTCTGTGGTGTTATGTCGTTTGTGTTGTATTTTCCTTCTGCAACCTCATATCTGTCTTCTGGCAGCCAGCTGAGCTGACAAGGGGCCTGGCTGCCAAGGAAGCCCCCCAACTTCATCCACACAGGCGGCTGCCTTTGGCCTGTCCCCTCTGCTTTCAGCACAGTCCGCAGACCCACAGACCTCAGGCTGCCTCTTTAGCTCCCTCATTTCAGTTATTTGCTGGGTGTATGTTTGTGTCTATGTGAGTGTGTGCACTCTCCGAACTTCTCAGCCTCGGGCTCAGGACCCTGGAACGGGATCCAGGATACACTAGCAGGTATTTGAGCGGTCATTCTACTCTCCCGGAACCCCTGCAGCTAGGAAATGTGGGGTGAAAGGAAAGTCAGGAGCACCCCACACCTCTCTTCCTCCTGTAGTAGAGGGAGGCTAGGCCTGGAAAGACATTCAAGGGCTTTGCCTCTCCTCGCTCCTGTTCTGGGAACCCCAGCTAAGAGTTCCCCACAATGGTTTCTGAGCTTCCTCTAGCCTGTCGTACGTACATCTTGGCAGGTGTTATGTCACCTTTTGGATACTGAGAAAACACACAATCCCCATGTTATTGTCTTCTGAGACCCAAGACCCTTTGTCCATGGCAAAGGCTATGAGTAGACCCTCCTTGCTCTAAGGACACAGAACGAGGGTCACTAGGAAGTCACTGAAGTTAGCAAACTTTCTGGCTGCCTCTGGGCAGGGGAATCTCAAGAGAGAAAACAGTCCTAAGGCAGACTCATGGATGAGTAGATAACTTCGCTTCCCCGGCAGCCCCTTCCTGACGTCCCTCCCACACCCTGCTGGCTCTCAGAGCCAGTCTGTTCTGTGTCAGGACTTGGGGGGCCCCCAGGGCCCCAGGGCCACAACCACCAGGGCTCCTGCCTGTGGGCACGGCAGGTTGAAAGCAGCAAGCAAGCTGCTCAAACCCACCGACTGTGGTCCTGCAGCAAAGTCATGATGGTTCTGATCCAAGCCCCGCAAGCACCATTCATGGCCCCCGGAGAAGCAAAGCCCCCCTCTCTGCTCCCTGCTCCAAGGAGGCGGCACCATTTCTCGTGGGCTTCTGTCTTCTGTCTCTCCCATTGACTCTTCCAACAGCTCTGGCTGCTTCTCTTTTCCCATTTTTCGCCCCATTTTGCTTTGGTTTTTGTTATTCTTTAGCTGCAGCTGCTGCTGTTTGGGAACCACGTATAAGCTGAAGATTTTTTTTTTCTGTATTTTTCTCCCTACCCTTTTTTTTTTTTCCTAAAGCCAGAAAGTGAGCAAGGTCGTAGAACTTCCCTAGAAAAGTTCACTCGCAGTGTGGTAAGTTCAGTCGGTTTTCTTCCCTCAGCTTTTCTTTTGGTTTTGGTTTTTTCTTTCTTCTTCTTTTTTTTTTTTTTCCCTTTGGTTGTTGTTTCCTTTGGGGTGGGAGGGAGTCCAGTGCTTTCTCCCTCGACTCAGCCCTTTTCTTTTGCGAGTGTCTGCAGCTTCTCTTCTAGGGATGAAAATGCAAAAAAGAGCAAGCGGCTCCCTCTGCAGAAGGTGCACCCTTGATCGCCCAGCCTCAGGCCTGGGCATTTGATCATCTGTTCAGGGCTTTGAGGAGGAGGGACCCTGCTGCCCTCGGGGCTGTGCGGTTTGTGCATCTTCTGCAGCAGCTCAGGGAGAAGCCATCGAACTATACCGTGAAATAAATTGGCTCAGAACCATAGCTCATCGAAAAAAAAAAAAAAAGCCAAAATTTCCCTCTGTGAACCCTGGCAGTCACGCCGGTGTGGGTCGCGAGCTAATGTTGCTGTGTAGGCGGCTTTTGCTGTGTGCAGAAAGCGGCCGTGCTGCATGGGTCCTGGCGATGTGGCCTAGCTGGCGTGTGTGTTAGTCGCCTCTGCATGAGTCCCTTCCAGCCCCCATCAGCCTCATGTGCACAGTGTGATAGGGAGAGGAGGGAAGTAGCTGAATCCCTGCGGTGTCCTGGGTACTCCCCGGGGGCAAGGTCCTACCGGCCTCCTCAGGCCTTGATTCTAACAGGCTGGGTAAAGATGGGCTTCAGATTCCTACAGGTTCATGGTACGCCCCAGCTAGAGAGGTAGAGCTCCCCACAGTGGCACATAAAGACAGCCGTGGCAACAGGTGGGAGTGGGGAGTCCGTGGCTGTTCCCTGGGGTGCATGGCTGAGACTCTCTACCATGGTTTGTAGAACAACACAGGCCAATCTCCTCTTTCCATGCTGGTCGGCCCAAGATTTGAACATTGAGCTCAGTGCACAAGAAATACTCAATCCCGCTCAATCACGGGGCCCATCCTGTACCATGAACATCAAACCAGAGGGAACCAGGGAGCAGGGTCCCATGCAGGGAGCTGGCCACATTCCCTTCCCAAAGGGTGGCAGCCCATTGATATTGACTTGCCTTTGTTCCACCTCTGTTGAGGAGGAAAATCCTTGTAAAACCTGACTACTGTGTGACTGGTATACGTATTTCATCCTTTTAAGAAAAAGTCTAAGGCTCCTGGGTTGAAAGCAGCCTAGTCATTTACGTGTCGTAGCTAGATGCATTTTAAGTGCATTTAAACATTATCTTGAATTTGCTACATGTAAACCTCAAATAACTCTAGTGGGTGGCAATTAATTAAACATCGGTATCCATCCCTTCCCTTCCTCGGTCTTCCCTCTCTGTGGCCTTTCCTCATGAGAAATCAGAATGTGCAGAACACAAGGCCTGCGGGTGCCTGGTCTATCTTCATGGCTGCTTTGCCAATGGCCGTGTGGCTCCGCACACCAAGAAGCTGCCACGGGCTGTCAGAGTCAAGGCTTCTGGGACTTCCTTCACTCCATGATGGCCTGAGAGAAGGTAGTGGGATCCCATCTCTCTCTGTTTGTCTCTTTTGAGGACTGGCTACTGTGCGGGTGGAGGATGGTTAGGGATTTTGCTGACAAGCCAAGGGTGCCTGTGTAAGCAGAGCCTTGACAGCCCCCGGAAGCTCTTGAGGGTGACCGTGCAGGCCACGGGTGTGAGAGGGGAAGCCTGGTACTTGGACAAAACGTCCAGACATTTTCAGGCTGTTTTTCAAGAGAAGTGAGTATCAAGAAAGGCAAGAATGGTCTCGCGAAGCTCTGTGAGGAGCATTTATTGATTTCCTTTCATCCCAGAAGTGGTGTTGGCTTGGGGGTTCTCCCAAGGTCTGTTAGCAAAGCATTTGGAACAAGAAAGCACCAAGACACCCCTAAGTGTCTGAAGTGCACACATGGGAGAGCTTCCAGAGGGAGTTTCAGAGTGAGCTGAAGGAGAAAAGTATCCTAAGCTCCTGAGGGTGTGGATAAAAGGCCCAAACTATTAAAAAAAACTAAATTCCTAAATTCCCTGCTATTTTATGAACAAGAAACTCTAACAGGTGATGCATTCAGAATTTGGGGTTCCAGTGGTGGAGATGGATTGCCATCCATCCATGCTCCTCCTGCTCTTGGGGTGACACCATAGCCCCACAAGATGTGGCTAAGTTTGGGGAATAATATGACCCATGTGTTGGCTCTCAGATTACTTAAGATTGGAACCCAGGAATCTGGTCTCAACAGCCCAGTGGTCTCATCAAACAGAACTAACTAACTGATCAACCAATATGCCTTGCAATTTGATAGCCATTCTCTGACTATCATATGCCTAAAGTATTTGATTTCTCTAAGAGAAGATCTACGTGAATGTTTTATCTGCTATATACTGCAAGCTATAAAACTAAATGAAGGGCCAGTTCAATAGCATTCCTGTGTTGCTGGGAAAGATGTGTAAGAACATGACCCATGTCATGGGGCTAATAATGGAAACAGGGGAGTGAAGCTGGGCAGCTCACGGACCAAAGACGTGAGGCCAATTACCATTTAGGATTAATTGATGGCAAAAAGAAATAATGTTGATCCAGGTGATTGGATAACTCATTCAGCTGGAGGCTTGTCAAGACTGAATCTGAATTCAGAATTTCTCCCCAGAACATGCCAATGTCCTTTCTTTTCTTGGTAGAAGAGAAACACTTGGAAAAAACAAATTGTTCTTTCCAAGTCTTATGTTGTGCCATGACATAGAGGGATTATCTGTTAAGACCACATATGCCCCCTTTTCCATGAGATCCTAAGGAGACATTTAATATGGTTCATGGAAGCTTTTAGGGCCATGTTAGTTTGGGTGACGAAGGGGCCTGGTACTCCCCAGTCAATAGAGGAAGTGCTGTATGAGCTTCTCTTTCCAATGCAAGCTTCATTCCAGGTTACTCAGGACTTGGATATACAAAGCAAATGTCTGGGGACACTGGGCCAAGCATCCTGTCATTTTGCAGACTGAAACCACAAACCCTGCTTATTTGATAAGGCCCAGGTTCTGAACTAAACATGACTGAAGTCCACGACAGGGCGCAACTAGCCTACCATGTACGTTCATCCAAAATGGAAAACAAGACTCCCTCTGGTGGGCCCAGCCTCACAGATGCCCAGCTGACCAGGCAAAACACAGGCTGGGTTTCAGCCCCTATTGATCCTCAGCTGCCCTGGTGCAGTGAATAACCCACGCCACTGTACATGGCCACCCTTGTCCGAGGAGCCTGTTTCAGAAAGAGCTGTAACACACAGCAGCTTCTCCAGGGCCCCCAATACATGGCCTCAGGTCATGTGATTTGGAGCCTGTCTCTGCCTAATCCTGCTCATGGGGAAGCTTCCTTTCACAGTGGCTGTAACATATGAAAACCACAGTAGGAGAAATCTGGCTAGTCACTGTGGGTTGCCTTTGCTTCACCTTCCAGCTGTTCTTCAGATTCTTTGGTGGGAAGTCTCAGGCATTACTGACCAGGGAGAGGAGGTGCCTTCTCTCACTGAAGACTCTTTCCTGTTGCTTGGTGATGTCTAGCCTGCCACTCTCTGCTATCTTCCTGGTTTTGCAGTTGACAGAGGACAATAGGAGCATGAAGGTGGCCAGAGCTGAAATGCTCACCCTCCCACTGCTTCTTGAGACAGAGTCTCACTCTCCGAGCCTGGAGTGCAGTGGCACAATCTTGGCTCACTGCAACCTCTGCCTCCTAGGTTCAAGCGATTCTCCTGCCTCAGCCTCCCGAGTAGCTGGGATTACAGGCACACGCCACCACACCCGGCTAATTTTTGTACTTTTAGTAGAGATGGGGTTTCACCATATTGGCCAGGCTGTTCTCAAACTCCTGACCTCAAGTGATCCACCTGCCTCCCAAAGTGCTGGGATTACAGGCATGAGCCACCACACCCCGCCCTCTGCTCTCTCTTAAGTGTGCTTGTTGCTTCAGCTTCCACAGAGTCTACCACAGTGGGGTGGGGGGCCTCACCAAAGAGGGCCTGGCTCTGACATAGAGGACCAGGAGCATGCGTGGGAGGGAGAGGGGGCAAGAGGAATCGGGGCCAAGCCACAGCAGCAGCTCCCTTGTTGAGATAGATACTGGCTGAAGCCATCTGGTGAGAGCTCCAATCTGGGGAGGAGAAGCTGGAGAAAGTCCTTTGCTCCTCTGTCCAGTTCCACAGAAAAAGCCGCAGAGGGTGATAGCACTGAAGTTAGGAGAAAATGGCAGCCCCGAGTGAGGCTGGTGTCAGCCTCCCTGGGTACCTTTGGAGGCTCAGTTGAAACCTTACCTGCCCTCTTGAGAGCTTCATCAGCTCCAGCCTTGGGCTCCAAAGATAGATAGATAGAAAATGGGGTTGCTGGTGCCAGAGCAAGCACTGGAGGCCACGGAGGAGAAGGGAGAGGAGGACCAGGCGTTCATCCACCTCCTAAGAGAGCATCGAAGTTTAGCTTTGCCAAGGTGCTCCTTGGAATTGCGGCAGGAAGGGCCGGAAGCTGCAGAAGGCTTGGCATGTGATGGGTGGCATCTCTGCGACAGGCTTTCCTGTCCTGCCTGCCTGCCAAGGAATGCAGCAGGCAAGTCAGATGGGGAGCGGGAAGCTCTGGGAGCCAGCTGCCACTCAGCCTCCCTCGCCCCCTCCTTCCATCCCCCTGTTCCTTCCCCTGCCAAAAGCCAAGGAAGAGCTAATGAGAGCCAAGAAGTCAACAGCTCACTCATCCCCCTCCAGGCAGCTCTGCAGAGAGAAACTCCCAGCTCCAGGCCCAGGTGCTGACCGGAAGTGGAGGGCTAAGGCTCTCCGCAGGGGAGGGGGCAGGCAGGCAATCAGGGCAGTCAGCCAACCGGCAGAAGCAGCTCCTGCCCCCAGGAAGGCGGTGTTGTTTTCCCCTCCTCCTCAAGGTTTCATGGGGAACAGCCTTGCACCCTGGTGGAATGAGTTCCCAAATACCTAGACTCAGCAGAATCCCCAGAGGGCTTTGACCTCAGTTGAAATGATCTTTCTGTGCCTCTGGCAAGGGCCAATTGGCTAAAAATCTTTCCAAAGGGTTAGTTTTTATTGCAAACAGTCCTTGGACTCCTTTGGGACCACTGGGTCACAAACATTAGTGCCAGCCTCTCCCATCTCAGAGCACTGAGATCCAGCTGCAGTGAAACCCTGGCCCTGGCTGGAGCTGGAGGGAGACTTCCATCGAAGTGTTTGGGAAGGAAAGCAGGGAAACCTGCCTCTCTGGAGCAGCAAGTGCATGTCCTGGGACTCTGAGACACCTCAGCAGCCCTCCTGCAGACTGGCTCCTGCTTCCAGCCTCAGCTTGCTAGCTATGTGACCTCAAGCAAATCACTAGCCCTCTCTGAGCCCTGGTTTTCTCCTCTGAAATGACTTGGACTAGGTCGTCTCGATGGTCCCTTCCAGCTAGCGGTGTTCTGCAGGTCTGTGCTTCCCTCTGTCCTGAGATTTCTGAGTTATATAACTCATTCCTTAGAATGGGAGAGGAGCTGTCTTCTTGCCCAGTTAGTTACCTGATTCAGAAGTGCCTGCCAGCCTGTGAGGCTGGGAAATAAACTGTGGATAGACTTGAGTTGGGTGTATTTACAAAGCCTGGACATGCACTGGCAGGAGAACTGAGTGCCCCAGGCTCCCCACACCTACACCACAGGCCCTGCTCAGTTGTTCAGGGTTCACTCGTCCACGGTGAGTCGCCGGAGGGTCAGGGAGGACTCACAGAGAACAGGGTGAGTGCCCTACACCCTTCAGCTTGCCAGTTCTGCAGTCCCCACCCTTCCGGTCTGGATGCCCAGCTGTGTGTGTGTGTGTCAGGTGGGGTCAGCTGGGCAGAAAGGTGGACCCCAGGGTCGGTGTTGCCGCATCACTGCATGCACTGTGGGGTCCCAGGGGCCCTATGGGTATAGGAAGGAATGAAATGTGAGCACTTGGGAATCTCAGCACACTCTGCTGCTCACCTGCTACCAGGCTTTCTGGTTCCCCAGGGAACCCTGGGCCAGCTTGTTGCTGTCCTCTTTTAGCGATGGGAAATAAGAGTATGAGAGACAGTGTTATCCTGTTTACAATCAGTGGTGAAGTCCGTGGTTAAGACCAGGTTACAACTCCTCTATGCTTCGCTTCTTATCTTGACTCTGTGTGAAATTAGGAAAAGCATATTTACTGTTATAGTTTTGTAGCTGGAAAATGAAAATATAAAAGTCTATTTTTTATAAACTACAAAATGTAAAACAACAGACTCAGTATGGCTGGTGGGTACAGAGAAGACAAAGTGGCTCCTCACGGGGTTGACAGGAGTCTCGAGACTTTTATCAAAAAAGGCCAGAAGTTGGTTGTCATTTTTGAGACACTGGGCCCTAGACCCTGACGTTTCCGTTGGAAGGAGGAGCCCCCAGCTGTTCCCGCTGATGGTTCAACCTGTCCGCCAAAAGCAGCCAAAATGCTCTCCCCACGGAGTGCCCACTTGGAGAAAAACCCCACTGGTGACTCACCTTCTGGACATGTGGGGCAATCAGGGCCCGGTGGAGGCAGCTGCTCCTGGCTTTCCCTGGTGGGCCCTCCCTCGACCCCCGCCCAGGCCCTCTCCTGCCTTCCCCAGACCCCAATGTGCCAAGCAGTCAAGTGAAAATCAAATCCTCTGAGGCAGAAAGACACAGCTGTGTGTTTACAGCCACTGATTCAGATCCAAATCGCGTACCCTGCCAGTCTCTAGCAAGGCAGGCTGGGGGCAAAGTGTGTGTATGCCAAGCAGGGATCTATTTCGGGAGGTGACCTGCAGGCCTTCGCCATGACAGTGCCTTCCTCCCACCCACTCTCAGGAAAGGTGCTCTCACTTTACAAGCGGCTGATGGGGTTGTGGGGTCTCGGCATGCTTGTCACTTGTGCAGTCAGACCCCAGTGCCATCCTCGTGCAGCCACATGGGAACTGTGTGGGCTCCCACCTGCCTAGTAAGAAGGCAGAGAGTGAAGGGGAGTGCAGGGCCCCCCGCAGGATAAACAGCGGGAAGGCCGACCACTCAGAAGACAGGATGCCCGCCTCTGCCTAGGACAGAGCCTGCCTCAGTCCTGTCCGGGGAGCAGCAGCACCGCAGCAGAGGGGGCCAGAGAAAGAGCATCCAATGGCAGGAGTCTGGCAAGGCGACAGCACTGCCAATGTCACGGTCAAGGAGAGGAGACCCAACTCTGCCTGTGGTCCAGACTGGAAAGTTCAAAGAGAAGTCAGAGAGCTTCAAGTCTGAGGACTTCAAAGGCTAAGAAGTAAGACCCCCCCCCGACCCATGGAAGTCCCCCCAAAATGAGCTCCTGGTGGAAACAACAGGGGATGCTTCCCCCTTTTAAAATAGTGATGAGTGTCCCTGGTTTGAGTTGAGTTAGGAAAGCATGACATTTTGGAAGGAGGCCAGGATACCTGTCCATAGGTAGGAATAGCCTGTAAGATGTTGCCCTCCTGCAGTGTGGCTAAATGGGACACTGCCGGGGGTGGGACTCAGAGCAGTGGGATTTTTAGTTTTGTCATGTTTGCCCAAAGGTGGATGAGAGAAAGACCCTTGGGTGTTTGCTTAGTGGCTTCCCAATGGGTGGGAAGGTGAGACGGGGTTGGAAGCATGGAGCCACCCCAGCAGTGGCAGGGCCACAGGGCAGCGGTTCTTCCATGCCCCCTAATCATGGCCACATTGTATCAGCCTGAGCATGAGCAACAGCACCATGGCCACATACGGGAATGGGCCTCATTGGTGTAATATTTGGCAGATTCTCTCCACACCCCCCGTGGCGGTCTGGCTTACTGTTAAGAAGGGTAACCTTAAAAAATACATTTCCCACTCCAGAAAATACTCATATGTGGCCTGTTAGCAGCACAAGAAGGGTGAAAGCAATGCCCATTCCTGCCTCCCTCCCCCTGCTCACCTCCACGTCCCTGTTTGCCCCTTTGTAGGTGAAGTGAGTATATTCAGCGTCTTCATGGCAGGGGAGAGGGTGTATTAATCCGTCTATGTCCGCTGGAAAGGCAGTCTCTGAGCGGGCCACAAGGGTTCAGCCATGGCCCATCCAATAACCTTTTTGATGACTTGGATGAAGAGACAAACATTCCAACCACATTCAAAGATCCAGACCTCCAAAGTGTGGCTCATTTGGTAGATAATGGAATTATATTTGGAAAGCATTTCCCGCAGCTGGGATGATGGGTCAAAAACAGATAGCATTTTACCAGATCATATTTGTGTGTGTGTGTGTGCGCGCGTGTGTGTGTGTGTGTGTGTGTGTTTTAAATTCAGTTTCCCAACTACAGGATGGCATTTGTAGCCTTTCCTAAAAATCAAGTTTAAAAAAAAAAAATTTCTTGGGTTGTAATTGACGATAAGCTTAGTGTAAGCAAATGCAGAATGCAGCTGCTTTCCAAAGGGCAGCTTTAGGCTATATAACAAAAGTGGGAAAGGAAAAGTGTTCCATTGCTTTTTGTTGCTCTAAGCAATATTAAGTCTTGGTTCTAAGCCCCCACATTATCAGGAACTTTAACATCTAGAGACAATTGAGAGAGAAGAGCTAGAGAGAGAAAGTGACCCTGGAAGCCACGTCGGAAGAGGCTGGAGTAAAAATGTCTAGCCCCCCAGCAGACTTGATGGCCACCGTGAGCTCTTTGCATTTGTCTTCAAGAGTGGACACTTCCGGGTTGCTCCAGAGAGCAAGGCTAGAACAAATGGCTAGAAGATAGATAGGTAGATACTAAAAATATTCTAACAATAACAGAATATTCCAACAATAGACTATGTCCCCTCAAAGGGCAACGAGCTCCATGTCTAGCCGTTTAGAAGCTGAATGGCCAAGGATAGTGCAGAGTAGGTTTCTACACCAGATCCCATGATCTTTTGCAACTGGAATTCTATGCTGCCCCAAATACTTGTTAAATGGATCCGACTGCATTTCATTCTGTGGTTTATAAATAAGTCCTGGAAAAGGAGAATGAATTATAAGGAAGGAGTTTGCTGAGATTGGAGGAGAGGGATCTGAAAGACTCAGGACTAGACTCCGCCTTGAGGGAGAAAAAGCCACAAGATGACACACTCAAAGCAAGGGAAACCGTCAGGAAGTGGAATTACTGCCCTTCACATGTCATCCTTGCCTTCTTTTCTGTTTTTTGTTTTTTTTTTTGGCATTTGCTGCCGCAGCAGCTGAGCTCTGGGCAACAGGGCTCTCTCTCCCGAATGTCTGAAAGGAGGTCAGCAAGTGGAGGACACAGGCGCCCACTGGCACAGGGCATTGGCAACCATCGTGCAGTGAGCCCCAGCACAGCCAGGGTGGCCATGTGCGTGGGGCGTCCTGGCCCAAGGTTGAAGAAAACTCATCCTGTCATAGTTCCCATCCGGAAAGGGTGTTTTGTTGAAAGCAAAAAGGATCATAAAGTCATTTGCCTTTTACCCAATGCCAGTTCCAGATTCCAGGTAAATGAGCTAACATCAAAAACACCTCAGCCGGCTGGGCGTGGTGGCTCACATCTGTAATCCGAGCACTTTGGGAGGCCGAGACAGGCAGATCACCTGAGGTCAGGCGTTCAAGACCAGCCTGGTCAACGTGGTGAAACCCCGTCTCTACTAAAAATACAAAAATGAGCCAGGTGTGGTGGCACATGCCTATAATCCCAGCTACTCGGGAGGCTGAGGCAGGAGGATCACTAGAACAAGGGAGGCGGAGGTTGCAGTGAGCCAAGCTTGCACCACCTCACTCCAGCCTGGGCGACAGAGCAAAACTCCATCCCCATCCCACAAAAAACCCCCCAGAGACCTCGGACTGAGGAGAAACTATGCCCCCACCCTGGCTTCCCTCCTCTAGGGCCCTGCCAGGGGGACTTGTCCTCAGCCCAGCTCAGGGAAAGGGAAGGGTTCCCATGTCACATTCTTTCCAGCTGTCCTAAGAACCACCCCGATTGCCGATGACACTCCCTCCTCTCTTGGGCTTCACCAGGGCTGCTTTCAACTCATCGTGGGATTGTGTAATTATGGTGATTACAGCTTGTGACTTTTTTCCTCTCCATCTTTTGCTTTCAAATTCTTTGAGGCCTCTCATTAAACATGGCGATCCCGGTAAAGTCAGCAAAGTTTTAATAAGACACTTTTTACAGCTAAAGAAAGCCCAGTCAGGGTTGATTGCTACTATGTTCTCTCAGATACTCCATTAAAACTCTATCAGGTGCAGTTGGTGCCTAGGTATAAGAGGTGGGGGAGAGGGAAGGCAGGGAGGCAGAGGGCACCTGTACTTAGTGACAGGGCTGGAGAACCATTCCACACCATGCCCCTGGCTTTTTTTGTTTGCACTAAGCACCAAGTACATCTGAGCCCCCGTGCCTAACAGGAAAAGACAGACTGTCAAGCAAGGACCGAAAGCCTGGCCTTAACATCATAGCACATTACACTGGGAAATGGAGATGGAGCATCCAAGACAACACTTAACCCAACCTTGTAATCTTCTGCAGCAAAAGTGGTGGGGGAATTCTGATACGTGCTCTGTCCTGGTTAATACTAGAAGGTTCTGAGGCATCCATAATTCTAAATAATTAAAGGAGTCAATCAATCACTAGCCTTTGTGAGTCATCACAATCCGGTGGTTTTACACCTGATGGAGGTTTTACACCTGATGGAGGTTTCCTTGGTAGTGATTCAGCTTCACATCTCATTCTTGGCTAATCTTTAATCATAGCTTGCTTGCTTGCTTTTTGTTGTTGTTTTGGTTTGGTTTTTGGGGGGGTGTTTTTTTTGAGACAGAGCCTCGCTTTGTTGCCTAGGCTGGAGTGCAGTGGCGCAATCTCAGCTCACTGCAACCTCCACCTCCCAGGTTTAAGCGATTCTCCTGCCTCAGCCTCCTGAGTAGTTGGGATTACAGGCCTGCACCACCACACTCAACTAATTTTTGTACTCTTAGTAGAGACGGAGTTTCACCATGTCAGCCAGGCTGGTCTCGAACTCCTGGCCTCAAGTGATCTGCACACCTCGGCCTCCCAAAGTGCTGGAGTTACAAGTGTGAGCCACCGTGCCCAGCTCATAGCTTTCTTGAATAGTTATCATAGCTGTAGGACATCATGAGAAGGACCATCAAGGAGTGTGGCTTGTGTGTGTGAGCCCCGTGACCCACCCTTCAGCAGGTTCATCCAGGTTCCCCTCATTTCTATATTCCCTGGGGACTACACAGATGCCCGCACAGTGAAGTGCATCTTGCTCCAGCAGGACTGTGTTTCTGAGAGGTCCCTGATTGGCTGCTCGTGGCTGACCGTCCCATACCAACCAGACTGCCTTTTACCCTGCAGGTAGCCAGTTACCTCACTACCTGTGTCTCAAAAGAGCAAGGAGCTGGATTGTGACTGAGCAGCACCAACCACCTGGAGTTAAATGTCAAAAACGTGGCAGGGACATTTCCCCCAACTGCATTCCCATCCACTACTGAAGGTGGCCTGCTCGTGTGACCCCTTGAGAACAACGGTCCCTTTAGTACCCACCAGAATGCAGAGAAGTAAGCTAAGTTCGAGACAGGCAACCCCAGCTGAATCCCTTTTTCTCCACCTGATATTATGTGACCCTGGGCAAGTCACTTGCATGTCTGACAGGTACAACAAAGCCCACTGCACAGGGTAGATGTTGGCATTCAATGAGGATGTGATCACAAGAGCTGCCATTTATTGGGAGCTCACACTCACAGTGTTGGACTGTGTCATGCTGGCTTTGCCTGGGATGGACTTTGGTTCTACTTCAGCTCCATCACTTAGTTGTTTGAATTGCACAGCTTCTCTAAGCCTCAGTTTCCTCATCCATAAAAGGGAGATAAGAGTAAATAAGTAGGAATAAAATGCATAACGTCCTTAGCACACTGTGTGCAGTGCGTGTGCTTAACAGGTGTAGCTCTTAGAATCAGTTTCATCATTATGATATTATTTGCAGCTCATACTTAGGCTGCGCTTATTACCTTATTTAATTTCCAACAATATTCTGCAAGATAGGCATCATTATATACATCTTGTGGTTGAGGGTGGGTACGTGGGTATCTCCTATATGACAGTCTGCACAAGGTGCATGTATTACAGAGATCAGCTCATGGTAACTACTCAATAAATGGCAGCTATGATTGTTGGCTTATTTTTAAAGTCAACTCAGAGAGTTAGTTTTTCTGCATTTCCTGGAAATGAAGGGACTGTGGTGCCCAGCAGGCCAGCTTCTGTTCTATGGTCGATTTCCTGGGGCCCCTAAGCACTTCCCGGGAAGCTGTGGGAACTGGGGGGCTTGTCAGCCTGTAAGGTGCTGGGAGGTGGGGAGGGCCACCAGGCAAATGGTGCACGTGTTGTGGGGATCTGGCATTTGGCCGCCTACTGAGTTGAAGGACTCGAAGGTGCCTCCTGCTACCAGAGACAGATAAGGAATGGGTCTACCCAAGATAAGAAGATGAAATCCACTCCTCCAAATGTAGCCCTCCATGTGACAGAAACACTCACCTCTCAGCTGTCTGCTTGCCTGGAGCCACCCTGAGCAATGCAACCTCAACAAGTCCAGTTGCTCCGTCAGTCCAATAAACAGAGGTTTCTCTTTTTTAACCACTTATTCCAAAGCGAGGTAGTGGAGGAGTCAGAAGCACGTGGCAGGGGATGCTTTGAAATTCCTTGATAAACCGGACCCCTGGGGTGGGCACTCCTACTGCCTATAGTACCGACAGAAACAGAAGTGGAGAAGTTGTTTATTTCCAATGAGGTCAATAAATGCCTTTTTCATGGGGGAGAATTCCATTTTTATATATGTATTTTAAGGTGAATGCTTTAAGTTTGCAGTATTTGTCAGAGTGGCATCTTAGGAGCTGATAGAAAACTCTACAGCCAAACAAGCGATTGCCTGTGCACCTTGCATGAGATGCTTCTGTAAGTGCCTGTGGTCTCAACATGCACATGAACGCATGCACTGGTGTATGCACATGTGCACAGGTGTATACACAGGTGCATGTGCCGCCTGCCTGATGTTCGCCTCTGTGTTCAGTGTATGGTGTGCATATAACCATAAGCTGCAAACCTGCAAGTATCTCTGTTGCATGGATTGCATGCCCTCTGCAGCTGTGTGTGTGTCTGGGCAGGGGCTCCTCTAAAGCCACAGGTCTTCACAGTTTCAGCTGGATAAGTTATTCTTCACTTCCCTTCCTAAAAACACAATTGCCTAGTGCTGCTGGCGCAGAGTCAGAATGGCCGCTGCATTTCACCCCCGAGGTGGCTTCCTTCCAGCAGTGGGTGAGTGATCCCGGCGTTCGCACACTCTCTAATCTGTGGAATCCTTCTGCACAGAAGGTGTTCCAAAATCCAAAAGAGATGATCTGTTTGTCCATGGCATCGTCTCTGCCCACCACTCCTGTTCTCATGCCCTGGTTCCAGGGACAGTCGGCAGCACCCATTTCTTGGTGTCTCTGTTTTTTCTGCCCATTTTTTGTACCCATAGTTTTTCTCTCCTAAGAAACAAGGAGCTGAGGGGTCCAGAAATGATGCTGAGATGAGTCCCTTGTCCCAGAGGCAATGTGCAGATAACATCCTTAGATATTGACCCAGTAACTCTCTTCTCCTAGTCCCATTCCCTAGCAGAACAGGGAATACCCACTACCTTTGAAGATGCTTCTAAATCCAATAACAGCATCCTTAGGCTTCATTTCCTGGTGAAAGCTTCCATAACTCTTCCTCTGTGGGCCCTGGGCCAAATCCTGCAGGAAACGTAGCAATCTCACATTTCTACACACTACACCATCAGGGGAGAAAAAAGCTGGGAAACCGCCCATCCTCTGTCCCATGGGGACCAAAAGCATCTCAGCAGCACGTGAAAAGAGCCTGTAGGGAAATAAGGTTCTCTGTAGCTAAGAGTTCCAATGACCTAAGTTTCTGTCCAGGTATCTCCTGAAAACGCTGCTTAGTCTGTTCCCTGGTGTACTTCCTCCGGTTAGGAATCCATGTCTGATAAGTGCCTGCTAAATTGCATTCCTGATAGTGGGGAAGAAAGAAATGAGCCGGCCCTCTTTGCATATGCATCCAAATGGGCATGGACATTCACTGAATTGTTATGCTTTTGTGGGGGGATGAGAGGTCAGCAATTCTAGGCTCCGCCTTTTCAGCTGGCTAAACCAAGGACCCCAAGAAATGTACGTGTTTTGGGTGAACACATTTGCAAGAGATAAGTGTCCTCAGGAGGATGGGGTCAGAGTCCTCATAGGTCCTCAGGAGAATCACATACTGCCAACCAAATAACTTTCTCTTGCCGCTTTGTCCACAATATCAAGTAACTAAATTCCAGCTTCACTGTCTCCCGTAGTCATAGTCAAGGGTTACTTGAATTTCCTAGTTGGAAAAAAGTAGCATCAACTTGTTGCCAATAGCAACACAGCCATGTCCCTGTTTCCTAGAGCCTTTTGGTCTTTGCCTAATTTGGAGTGAACCAGAGCTTAGATGCCAGAGTCCATTTGGGAAGGAGGAGGAGAAGAGGAACAGGCGGGCATTAAGTGGGTCACAGGAAGGCATGCCACCGAGAGGCCTTACAGGCAGAATGCCACCCTCATTCCACTCCTGAAGCCACCAAGAATTTCCTGCAAGCTGAGAGAAGAAAGAGCAACAGGGTTGTTCCGTCAGATGAGAGGAGGGAGAGAAGAGAGAGCTGGTGTGAAAAGGGGGCATTTCCACCACACAGGGATGCAGAGTAGCAGGGAAAATGGAGATGCACAACTTGGACGCGAGACCGGGGAGTCTGGACCTGGCATTCTGCCACTCATGTAGGGCTCAGCTGCTGAGTCCTTGTCTCTCCCACCATCCCTACCCAGCTCCGGATTTGTCCCTGCACAGCTGGGGGGCCATGGAGAAAGGTCCCCCATCACTCAGCAAAACTGACAGGCAGAAGAAAGTGATGAGCATGGTGAGGCCAGGGTCAGAGATGCCAGGAACACCAGCAGGGAGGGCTTCCTCCACCTGGCTGGGCACCCCGAATTAGGCACTTGGCCTAGAATGATTTAAAGTGGGGTTGGTTTTCATTAGAGTAAGGCCACCCTGCCTGCCCCACCTTAGAAAGGGAAACATCACACCTGCTCCTGTCCTCCCTGGGGCATTTGCCATGTGTGTTCCTAGAGGCATCAGCATCAGTAACACAGGGCCACAAACAGAACGGTGGGTTCACCCAGCCTGTCCAGCAGCTACCACCTGAAATCTACATGCACCAAGCCATGGTGACCTGCACCCCAGCTCAATGCAGTAACCAAAAGCCCCTTTTGCCAGGCTTGTCAGCCAGCAGATGGCACCTCCTTTCTCTCAGGATTTCCAAATGGGATGAGGGGAAGCCGCTTCGCAGCATAGAACCTGCCTGAGATAAGCTCAAGCATGCTCAAGAACTTAAGTTCTTTTCTCAGGGAAGTTGAGAAAATCACCCTGCATTGCCCAGAGAGGTTGCCCAGTACGGGTTGGGCACAGGGGACTCCTTCATCCCTGAGTGTTTCCATCTGCCTCCTTCCTTGAGAGTGACAGCCATGTGCAAAGTAAGAGGGGCATGGGTCGTGAAGGCCGACCAACTCAGCTTTGCCACTGACTAGCCATGCACTCCCAGGCAAGTTACTCAAACTCCGTTTGAGTCTGTTTCCTTGTTCGTTTAGTGGAGTTTATAGAAATGCCTAACTGGCAAGCATGTTGTGGACATAAGTAAGTGCGGGTGCTTGTAAAATGCCTCGCATGCTTGACAGACACACAATAGTTGCTCAATGGTCCATCAGCAGGTGGCTGTTTGTTAGTAACTGTCCTCACAGCTACCTGTGTACCTAGTGGGGGACCATTCCCACCATGCCACTGTCAAGGCCTGAGTGATTTGAAGAACAAGGCACTTGAGGAGAGAGGGTCCATGAGCTACCCGTGCCATTCCATCAAACAGGCCCATGGGAGATCAGGGGATAGGTGGGTCCTTTTACATTTAATCCAGATAGGAGAACTGGCAACTCTTCTTTTGTAGATTCAAAAACTTTTTAAAATATTTTAAAGCACTGGTAGTTGCCAATTATATTAGTCCATTTTCACAATGCTATAAAGAAATACCTGAGACTGGGTAATTTCTAATGAAAAGAGGTTTAATTGACTCACAGTTCCACATGGCTGGGGAAGCCTCAGGAAACTTACAATCATGGTGGAAAGGGAAGCAGTCTTACTTGGCAGCAGGCAAGAGAGAGCGAGTGTGTATTAACACTTAAAAAACCATCGGATCTCATGAGAACTCACTCCCTATCACGAGAATAGCATGGGGGAAACCACCCCCATGATCCAATCACCTCCCACTAGTTCCCGCTCTCAACACATGGGGATTATAGGGATTACAATTCGAAGTGAGATTTGGGTTCAGACCCAGAGCCAAACCATATCACCAATACAGGATAGAGTAAGGTGTCTGAGCCTACTAGTGGTCCCAGTGACATTCTGTGGGAATTGCTTTCAGAAGACGTGACTGCTGGGTACCTCCTCCATCCCCAGTGTTTACCAGGCAGAGCCTGAGTGTTTACACCACACACAGCCTGAGTCTTTATACCACTGTACATGAGAAGGTAGGGGTCGGGGGGGCGGGGTGGGGGGTGCTGTTGCAAGAAAAAAAAATCCATTACGTTTATTTTGATCAAATTTATTATTTTTTAAACAGGTTCAGTTTTAAGTATTCATGAATGTACCATTTATTAATTCTTTAATCAGTGAACGTCTCTTTTTTGATTAATTCACTTTTCATCTATCCCTTGACTTTTTTAAAAAAATTGGGGTATTGTTTTATGTTTGTGATATAGCTTCCTATTTAAAAGGGGTCAAATAAAAAAATATTTTAAAACCACATAAAATGCCCTTAAGCCCCTGCGAGAGTTGAGGAAGGTTGCCAAGGCCCTACAAGTAACACAGACCCCAGGAATGGGTCAGCCACAGGCTCCCGCCCCTCCTCACTGCGGAAGGGTGAGAAAGACAGGAATGGCCTCTCTTCCTTCCCATGCTGCTCTGACCTACCTCTGTTGTGGAGGAACCATAACGGGTTCCATAGCCCGGTTTTTCCATTTCCTATGCCCCACCTTGTTTCACAGAGTTGAGTTAATAGAGGGTGATAAGAAATAGAGAATTTAAAAAGTGTTTTGAAATTATTCTAGGTTAAGTGTGGATTTTCCCACCATCCCCTGCCAGCGTTTCTCCGACATCTCAGACTGCACTCTCTCTCCCCAGTTTTAGACATCATTGAGGAAGAAGATGCCACGGAATTCTTTGCATTCCCTTTTAAAATCATTTCTTTTGCTTTGCTCAGTGGAGAAGGAGCACCAGGGGCAGCAACCTTCCGGGAGTCACCCGATGAAGTCAGGCAGGCCTTTGGCTTCTCCCATCCTGCTGAACCCAAGCCAGGATCCCCTACCTTTCCACCTGGCTCTTGGGCTCCTGACCCTTATCCTCAGCAAGTCTCCCCCAACCCCACCCCAGGCCTCTAATTCCACACGTATACATCCTTTATGAACTTGAGCACCATCTATTCAAAGGTGACCTTCAGGCTCCTTGAGAGCACGACTCATCTCTCTCTGGGGCCTCCACTTCTTGCCTGCTAAGTTGCATGGTGAGCTGTATTCAACGAAACACGATTTTTCATGAGCAGGGATGGAAAATGCCTGTGTGTCACACCAAAGGGATCCGTTTGCATCAATGGAGGCTAGAAATAGTGTTCCACATTAGTTCTGTTGCGAGTTCGAATTCCCCAACAGAGGAATCCAGGTTCCTCCTGTACTGGAGGGGGAAGCATTGAATTTCTCCAAACCCAGGGATGGGCCCAGCAACTGAAGAAGGGTAAGGAGTGGGAAATTCCAAGGCATAGATGTCATAGCTGGGACTTTTTTTTGTCCTAATTTTTTTTTTCTTTTGAGATATAATTATGCACGGTAAAATGAACAGACCTGAAGTACATGGCTCAATGAATTTGACAAGTGTATGCACCCGTGTAACGTATACCCCATCACCCTAGAAGGCTCCTTCATGTCCCTTTCCAATCAATTTCATCCTTCTCCCCCAGGGGCAACCGTGGTTGATTTCTTTCCCCCATAATAGCCTGGATTTTGATTTGGCAGACTTGAGATCTGTAACTTCGGTCTTAGTTCATCTGAGCAGATCAGCAAAAGAATCTCATCAGAAGCTCAGATGTCTTTACTCTCTTAGCATTGAAAAAGATCCTCCCTGAGCCGCTAGTGCTTGGCTCTGCTGTCCCCCAGTATGCCCCAATCTGACCCCCAGGGCTACTCTCTGAGCCACAGCCCTCCTCCCAGCCAAAGAAAGAGTTTAGCATCAGTCTCCCAGGTAAGTAAGTGGCAAAAGCTCTTGGTAACCCAGATAGTGCATGCTTTGTTGATTAATATGTGGAAGTGCAATGCACAGAGCCACAGCATGTCAAGCAGCATGTTGATTTTTCTCACTGCACAAAAGGGGGCTATTCCTTTTGTGTGTTTCCTTTCAGAAAACAAAGGATTCCATGACCACCTTCTTCCAGGCTCCTAGCCATCAAGATGGCCACAGAGCTGAAATGATTAATCAGAGCGGAGGGTGGGAATTGAATGTGTGGGTGTTAGTGAACCCAGCACTGAGCCCATGGTCCATGAAATTGAAGGATCCCAAATTCTACTGGATTACACTTTGCCAAATGTCTCAAAGGTGAAAAGCACTTTGTCGGTATGCAAAGCTTTGGTGTCTCTGGAATGTACCTTCTGCAGCTCAGTTCTTAATCACTGTATATTTTTTCACTTGGACAAAGGCTGCCTGCTAATAGCATTTTCAACCATCCTCAGCTGCTTCGCTCAGCTACGCCAAGGCCTCGGGCTGAGCTGGCTGCGGTTTCCTGGCACCATGATCCATTCCCAACTGACCAACACTGAGGAACATTACACACTCACACCCTGAAAAAAACCTGCTTCCTCTGTAACTATGCAAATGCCAGACACAGGCAGGCAGAATTACCATTCCCCTTCTGAAGTGGTTCCTTCAGGATCATCCAAACTGGAGACAGAGATGAGAGTAAAGAGACGGGGCAGTGCCCTGGAGGGTACAGGCAGGAGCTCCCCTCTCTCTGGGCACAGCGGATTCCTCGGGAGCTTCCTGCAAGCCTATAGGGGCATGCACTTTGGGGCAGCTCATCTCTGAACACAGGTAGCCTCTACTATCAGATTTCACTTTGATCACTGAAAACTACAGGAGTCTCAGCTCTTCAGAAGGGAAGCAGCTGCTGAGCAAGTGTGATTGCAGTATTTCTTCCCCAAAGCCCCGGGCCAGGCATCTACCCATGCCCGCATCCTGCATGATTAACCGCCTTCCAGTCTGAGCCTGCCCTCACTCACGCGGGAGGTCACTGGGTAGCGAGTAGATTGCAGCTGGGCTGAGCTGCCTCTCAAGCCGACCTGAACCCTCATGACCTCCATCTTTAGCAGCAAGCTGGCATTTGGTAAATGCGCGAAAGCAGGAGTGGGGAGAGGGAGACAAAAATGCCAAGCAGCACCGCCTGGGTTGCTGAGAGGTTGGGAACAATCCCAAGGGTGGCCCCTAAGCTGGTCAGCTGCACCATCCTACCCTGAAATCCTGGGAAATAAAAGCAGTCGGGGGAAGCGAGGAGCGGGCAGTGACAGGCTGGCCACAGGTCCTTGGAGTCAGAGCGGTGAGGCTGAGCTCCAGGATTTAGTCAGGAAGAGAATAATTAGCACCTTCAAGCCCAGCCCAGCCCAGCCCATTCTGTAGAAAGGGGAAGGGTTGAGGGTATGGAAGCCTCAGGGCCAAATTCACCTAAAACAAATAGACACATAATCCTCCAGAAATAGAATCTCCAACCTCCCTCAACCCACAGTCCCCTCTCCAGCCAAAATAACCTTGTTAATAGGAATGAGGCTGCAGTGAAGGTTTGGGCAACTGGTAAACCTCACCTCCTTTGTCTCTGGGCTTTGAATGTACTCATTGGCAACAGACTCTTATTCAGAAGCTTGAGTGATTTTTTTTTTCCCATCCACCAGCTAAATGAGAGCCCCAAACGCTGTGGATAGCAAACTCAGAACATATATATTTGGGTACATAATGTGTGATTTGTGGCCCTGGCGAAGGAGGGATGGGAGGAGGAGGAGGACCTGATATTGGTGTGTGGTGGTTATCACAGCAATAAGTGGCACCTAAAAGGAGAGCAAACTTCCTTTGTGCCTTTCATAGGACAGGGATGGACATAGGTAACCGGGGGTAGGGGAGGTTTGTAAGAGCTCTCACACAAGGAGGCCCCTAGGCTCAGCAGCCCCGTGTTTCCCCAGCAAGGATGCCCCACACCCCCATGTTTCCTGCCTTCAGGCCTGCCCCAGGAAGGCACATTCCCGAGTGACAAATGCCTCACACTCTATGTAAGAAAGGGCACTCAAGGAGAGTCACCGCTGGGTGTGTGCCACAGAACCCGGGGCTGGGGGGAGCCCTTGAAGGTCAGCCTCTGCCTTCTAAGAGCTATTGTTGTACCTAACCTGGTCTAGACAAAGGAGTAGTCATTCTTAGTGATTTTCAAAGACTGACACCATAACCCTCTTGGATTTTTTAAAAATCTGATTAAAAACTCCTTAGCCAAGTATAAATGTATCCTGCTGCAGGCTAAGTTTAGTGCACTTGAAGATTCAGATAAGGTTGCTGATGGGGTGATTTTGTGGACGTGTGTGTGTGTGTGTGTGTGTGTGTGTGTGTGTGTGTGTGTTTAAGATGGGGAGAAAAAATGAAAAGTTTTGTCTCACTAGTGAAAATGGGGAGTGAAAGCAATGGGGAGGAAAAAGGTCAAGGAGAGGTAGGGAAAGGCAGACTTTCTGACAGCTCCTGAGGGCAATTTCATTTTTGGACAAACTCCCATCTATAGCACCAGAATTCTCAAAGTCAGGCTGGCCATGCCTCTCCATGGAGATCTAAGCCAGATGCCACATTGTCCTGTATCCAGCAAATCCACAGCCCGTGTTGTTTATTAGATAAACCCGTTATCCATCAATTCATCAATCAGCAGGTTTATTGAGGACCCTACCAGGCTTCACAAACCTGATCAATTTTTTAAATTACATCTAGCTTACACGCAGCCAAGCCCAGTAAACAAGACGAGCCCTCACACCCCACTTGGAAATGAACATGAGGAATCGCTGGCCCTTGCAATCTCACGGCCAAACACTGCAGCCCCATGCTGACGAGCTATCACGTGCTGCCCTTCACAGATGGCGGTGGTGTCGCTGACCCACTGTCAATAATATGGGTTTGGAGTGCTTTCCCAGACACAGTGATCAATCTGCCTGGGTCTAGCCATACTGTCCTCTAAAGCCCTGTGCAATGATGCGGATTTCTAAAGAGGGTGAGCTGGAGAACGGGCACACACTATGTAAGGGCAATAAGCAAAGCGACGGAGCCTCGCTCGTGCCCCTCACCCTCCTCCTGGTGCCCAGTCGCAACTCCCCTCCTAGATCAGGGGCTTCTCCGCCATCTCTCCAGGGCACATACACAACGGGACTCTCCTGGCACCTCTATGGCTGATGCACCAGGCCTCATGATCCAGTTCACTGTTTTAGTTTTTGAGAAGAACTGCCACATGGGTTATAGTTGAAGGGCTTGTAGGCTTTCCTGGTATGGGGTCATCAAACTCTGCCTCTGGGTGCCACAGATGGGAAGCCAAGAACATAGGAGACAGCAGGAGTGCACTGCCCTGGGGCCTACAGTGGCTCTGAGCCCCAGCAAATGCCCCCCACTTTCATGGTCCCAGAACTGGTCATCAAGAGGACTCAAGGTCTTTGTGTCTACCCTGCATTCCAAACAGGACTCTGCCTTCTTAAGACTAGTTCATTCATTAGCTTCTGATCAGCCAGATCCTTGGCCACCCTCTATTTGAGTCAAGCCCCCGTCCCTGATCTCAGAACACCCCAAGTCCACCTTTTCCTCCCCCACGTGAACAAAATCAATTTCAGGGCAGCCCGCCGGCATTAAAAATTGCTCTACCTAAAGGTTTAAATACCTGGTTTTTGGTAAGTAAAATTCCCATACCACAAAAAGAGTACCAACAACACACCCTCATAAGGGGACCCTCCAGGACTCCCTGAACCTTCCCTGGAGCCCTGGTTTCTCCAGCTGTCCAAAGTTAAGGCTCCCATACACCTAGAGATCAAATATCAAGATGGTCAGTTGGGTTGGTTGGTCGTTTGGCCTACATGGCTCATGCAACAATTAATTCACCTGTCTGGCTCTCTGTCTCTGTCCCTCTGTGTGTGCGCCTGTGCGTGCCTCTCTGTCGCTGTCTCTCTGCAGGGAAAGTCGCTGGCGGGCAAGCGCCTCACGGGCCTGATGCAGTCCTCCTGACCGTTCCTACCGCAGGTCCAGGGCCTGGGCCCGCGGACCCCACAGGCAGGCGGCGGCGCTCCACATCTGCGGACAGAGTTTCCTTACGAGGAGACTTGGTCACTGTGAAGGAGAAAGAGTGAGGGCAATGAAGGGCGATGGTGGGGAGACTCGGTGGGTGAATGGGGAGACCAGAAAGAAAGAGTCCACAGAGCCTGGGCTGGGCCCGGTGGAGGCTCCTGTTTACAGCCCTCTCTTCTTTGTACAGTTGTATTCCAACACTCCACTCGCTAAGAGGCCCTGATCCCAGCTCATTCAGGGGAGAACACGTCGTGGGGTTCCTGTCACGACTATCACTTGAGATTATATTATTATCCTCACTCCCTCGCTGTCTGGAGACGGTCACACCTTCTGGCAAATTCAAGAGGCATGAGTGGACCGAGAGCACATCCAGCATTTGCATCACCTCCCTGGCACCTCCCATAGTTACAGCCACTACATCCCCACCGCCGCCTGTCATCCCTCACGTCTCTGTGGCCACCCGGGTGTCACTGCCAGCACCAGGCACTGCTTTCACGTAAAATGTCCAAATCACATCTTCAGCAAGAAAGCAACCTCACGGATTGCCCCGCCTCAAGGTCTTTCCACCCTCTTTGAGATCAGCGTTCGGAGAGGTCCCCGCCAGCCCGGTGGCTGCCCTCAGGTCCCGTCACATGTCTCAAGGGTCCAGCGTTCGAGGAAGCACTGTTGTAGATGACAGAGCTTTTTGTTTCACAGCTGCGGGGATTCTGCTGACCATCTTTTAGAAAATTATTTCATAATTTATTCTGGCTTTGCCCCCTTGCTCCTTGGTTTATTCCCTCATGTTTTACTCAAAATAAACATGGCCATGAACTCAGGGGCCATTGGGATTCTCCCCTCTGGCAGCCCCAGGTGGGAGCTGGGAGGGTCCCCAGCCCAGGAGGTGGCTGGATTGCAGGGCTGGCAGCCCCCACGTGGTGGCATCCTGACAGGCACAGTGAGACCCTTGCTGGGTCAGGTCTCCTTTGTGTGTGAAGCTGGGGCAGAGTATGCTACGAAGGGACCAGGCCAGGCCACAGGGCTCTCCTCCCAGTCTTTATCTGAAGGCCCAGCCAAAGCACCCCTCTAAACCGGTCACCTAGGGGAAATGCAAAAACCTGCAAAAGATCCACCTGTATTCCCTGTGTGTGTGTGTCAAAATGACCATTTGCCAACCTGGCTGTGAGGTAATGTATGTAAAGCACCGAGTCAGGTGCCTGATACGCAGTAGGTGCTTAGCAAACGGTAGCTAATACTATCATCATTGTCATTGTTATTGTGACACCCATGAGCCCACAGACAGAGCTGTATTAAGTAACCTGTTTTGAATCCAGACATTCACTCCCCCACTTGCTATGACTACCCTCCTTTGATCTATTTTTGGTCATAGGTAAAAAAAAAAATCTCTCTTGGGAGCATATAAACAAAAAACATAGAAGCAATAAAGCGATCGCTGGTATTTCTTTTCTCATGCAGCCAAATTCGCCAGCTGGTGACCAAAGGCTCAGATGCTTGCTTATTTGCAGACCCGGCCTCCTGGGTGCTCCCCAGTGACCCATCTTTCCACCCCACCACCTCCAAGTCCTGTCTATGTCTGCTTCCACACAGCCCTGTCCCCAGGGCACCAGCCTTCTGTCCCTCACAGCAGTGCCATCGCGGGCATTAGGAGTCTTCGTTATGTTGTATCCTTGTGAGTTCTTGACTACCATGCCCAAGTTTCCCCCACTGGCAATGGTTCCTCTCTTGGAGGTACAGTGGAAACCAGAGAGATGACAGATGTTGAGTCCTCAGTGTCTCAGAGGCAGCAATTCTTGCTGGACACCTGCACATGCTCAGCACAGAGGCTGGTACTTTGGAGGCACTAACCACTTGATGAGTAAATCAATGGCATAAAGCCCCATTCCAAGTTATGGGGTCTTTTGACAGGCCCCTTTCATCCTCTTTCTCTTTGTATAAACCTCATGTTTCAGAACAAAATTACAGTCTAAGTTCATTTGCCCCCAGCCTTGCCCAAGGATCCCCGGGCTGTGCTGACCCCTAGGCATAGGGCAAAGGGTGTTCCCAAGCAGCAGGCACCTCAGTGCCCTCAGTTATCCAGGGCAAGGGGCCTGGCTGCCCCCTGCTCCTCCCCATGATGCAGGGGCTTTCTAAGCCAGGCTGCAGACAGGGCAGGGTTGGCTTCTTGGCCATTCCCTCTGTGCCCCCTTCTCCTTCTGACTGGTCTCACCCTGGAGATCCCCAGAGGATCTGACCAGAGCCAGGTGGACTGTGGCCCTGAGATGGAGCTGGCTGCAGGCTTACAAGCACCTCTGGGGACATCCAGAGGGGAGGGTCAGTAAGCACAACGGAGCTAGGGAGACTTCAGATGGACTCAAACCCAGAGCAATAATACTCTCACACCACCCCACAGCTAAGGCACTCATGTTCCCCAGTAGATCAAGCCAGAAGCTTTGCAAGAAGGGAGTGGAACGAGGCTGCCTATCCAAGGTCCATCTACCACGCAGAACTTGGTCATGCAAGTACATTTGGAAAATCTGGTCTTGGCCCGTCCCCCATTGGCCTGGTCTACACAGCCAAAAATTCAGACTAGATTAGATGTTTGCAGGCAATTCTGTAGCAAAGCAAATTCCCCTACCCCGTCCCTTCCCCCTAGAAGCTGCCTTAGCCTCCCTGACTGGGTGTGGTCTCTGGGCCTAGGACTCCTCCCTATGAGGAAAAGTGCTCTCCAGCCACATCTTGGCAGCCCCACAACCACAGCATCAGGGCAGCTGCAGCAAGTGACCACCCACCCGTCGGGTTAGACACACAAGGCACCAGGCACTGGCATCTGACTAAAATAACCTTTCCCTACATGGGAAGAGGAAAGCTTGTAGGCTGGCACATATAAACGTCCAGCCGCAGCCAGATGGCCTGAACTAAGCAGCAGGAACTCTCTGGGCTGGGGAGGAGCCTCCTGCCCTTCTAGAAAGTGATGCGTCAGCTTTGTTCTCCTGGGAAGGTGTTGCTATACCCCAGGAACAAAGCAGGGCCCAACTGCCAGTGCAGTCAGCTGGGCCTGCGCTCCAGGCTCACCACCGCTAAGTGGTCAGGTACCGGGCCAGCATCCTGGGAGGGACCTCTTGCGACTCTGAGTTGCAGCTTGGACTAGCTGAACACATGGGGACATGCTCCAGGGGCTTCTTCCCTGGCAGGATTCCTGGGATTTCAAACTACCTCACCAACAGGACGCTGAACCAGGAGCCTGCCACCCAACTGGCCCCCTTGGTGATTGTGGAAGGTGATGTTTTTCCTAAAATGCATCCCTCCTGTTCTGCTCCATATACATGTGCTTCAAAAACCACCACCAGGAAAGCCTTCCCAGAAGAGGGAAAGGATTAAGGGCTCTCTTCCTTTGGGCCCTGCAGAATGTATTGGAGGGAGGTGTTGCTGCAAGGTCCAGGAGCTGGGAAACTCTGGGCTCGGGGGGAGATAATGCACCACCAGCCTCAAAAAGGAGCTGCCCAAGTTGAATATGTAGCAAAGACCATGGGATAAGTTGAATAGTGGCCAGACGAATCACTAATAACTCACCATGGGACCCTCTGAAGAGAGGCCTGTGCTCGTGTAACCATAGCAACAGCAGATGCCAGCAACCTACTCATTAGTACCACCCAGTGATAAGGCATCCCCTGGGCTAGACCCAGGGGCCATAAAGTAGCAAAGTAGCAAATGTAGCAATAAAGGGCCCGGGTCTATACGGGGACAGGGTCCAAATGACCAGGACTTGGCCCTCTCCCCAGCCCCGATGAGGGCTCAGAGCCAGCTGCTGTCAGCTGTCTGGGGAGGGAAGGCCCTGCTCCATACCAGGGGTCCCTGTTCTATACTCTAAGCCCACTCACCGCATGATCACGGACTCATCGGAATGGCCTCCTCTTAGTGCATGTGGTTCTCTTTAGTTTATTTTTCTGGAATTTGGGGATTGGACCCCAGAACCAAACATGCTGGTACAGTCTAAAAATAAATGACTTGAACCCACTTCAATCCAGCTAACTCTGTGTGGCTCCTTGGTTTGGGGGTTCGTTGGGCAGGATGTACCTCTAGAAAAATCGACCACCCCTCCCCACACTCCACCCTTCCCCATTATCACACACACACACACACACACACACACACACACACACACACACACACACACACCTGTTTCCTTCTCACTCCCAACCAGGCTGCCAGGCAGCACAGAAAAACCAGATCTCTGGGGCATTGGACTCATCCTGGTAGGTAGAGACAGTGGTGTCACCATAAGGCTGAAGTCCCTGACTCTGCCAGGGTCTCCTTGGCTGGGGGGTTCTCCAGACCCCATTGTCTGTACTCAGGTGCAAAACCCTGTGGCTGCTCTGACACCCTCTTGAATAAGATCCCAGGGTCAAAGTCTGCTGCATACAGACGGTGCTTCTTACACAGAGTCTCGGTTTCCTGAGCGACAGACAGTTGCACTTCCCACTAACGCCAAAGCAGCTGGACTCTGAGAGCCTGAGCGTCAGGCTGACAAGAGGAGGATGAGCGCAAGGTAAAAAGGCAGTGCTAGTGTACTGCAATCCCTCTATTAATGAGAAAGCCAACACCTAGCTGCATACTTCAGTGGCAGAAATTTTGCTCCTAAAGGTAGAAATGATTTCAGAGGCATGAAAATGGGACTCCAGTCACAGCTAGAAGGGAACCAACTCATCTTTCAATCCCTGGGCCACCCCCTTGTGCAGGATTTTCTGCCCCACAGAGTTAAGATCAAGTCACATCTGCCTCAGGTCCATAACATGTCCCACCTCACGTCCTGGTCCATCCCCAAAAGAGCCTGTCCTCTTTGACCATGGCCACCACCTCCAGGGAACCCAAGCTGCGCCTGCCTTCTCAGCTGGACCATCTGGCTTAGTTCCAGAATCTTTGCTTATCGGGCTGTTGCTGTGCATGCACTCTACCCTGACCGCCACGAGCAGGGCTCTGCTTTCAGGTCCAGAATCAAGATGGAGATTTGAGGCTACCAGTTATAACACAAAAAGCTGTGCCGGTCCAAGAATGAGAGCCATCCTGACAGCTGCCTCTCTCCCTACACCCTTCTGGGGACCTGTGGCATAACAGGCATGAAGCTGTCCTCTCCTTTGCTGCCAGCCTCCAATTGTTCATTGATCCCAGCCTCTGAGGAACCACCAGGGCCTCTGATGAGTGTCTCTGATCCTAGAACTTTTCCTGGGATGTGGCAACCTCCAAACCCAAGTAGTTCTCTGAGAGGCATATCCCCTCCTGGGCCCACAGAGCTCTGCCCAGCAGGCTCTCCCTCCGCCACCCTTCCTTCACAGAAACACCCATATGAACCCCTGACCCCCGTCGTGGGACTTCCGACACCTGCAGCTGGGCCCGTTCCCTGTACACAGCCCTTCAGCGCCCACAATGGGGGTTACTGGATCTGCCCCAGACCCCATACACAGAGGAGCAGGGCCCCCTGGCCAAAAAGAGGCTGTGGAATCTGGCTTATTTTAAAGGGGCCTGGGGTGTCGGGTGTAGCCACGTGAGCTCCATCTGTCACAGAGCTCTCTGGTACGCTCTTCCTCGCTTGAAGTGTGGGCTCGGTTCTCCTCCTCAGAGCCCTGAGGTGTCTCCTGGCCAGGTCTGGCTTATTTCAGCAGACAAAACGAAGTAACAGCCCCTGAGTGCAGAGCCCCAGAGCCACCCTCATTCTGAGCCTTAGTGTCCTCATTTGTGAAACAAGAATGAGAATTTCAAAATCTTCGGGTGGCTGTGAATTAATCTAGAGGGCTTAGCCTGGGCCTGACACATGGTAAATGTTCACGAAATGGGTGCTGGTGTTAGCTGGAGCCATGTCTGAGATAGGCATTGAAAGGCGGTGAAGGGAGGGTATGTTTGCAAATCCCTGCCAGACGGACAACTTCCCTGGCAGCCTGGCCCCTGAGAGCTGCCCTTCCCGCCAACCTCGAGGCTGTAGGCTTTGTTTGCCTGTGTGGGCAGCGGCCTCTCTCTGCCTCTGACAAGCCCCTGGCTCCCTTCTTCCCAGTGAGGACCTGGTTCCCTGTGTGTCACTTGGGTGGCCTCCATCAATAACCCTGCATTAGGCCTGAGAAACAGCAGAGTGGCGGGCCGGAGGCGCCCTCCCCAGACCCCACATGGAAAATGGAAACAGTGCAGATTCCCGCTGCCCATCTAGATCCCCGTTTGTCTGACGGACCTCATGGCTACTTCCGTGAGATTTGGACTCTGAGCTCTTGTTCCAAAATACTCAATTTCAGGCCAGTGACTCTGCCCTCTGACCTAGGACAAGGACCTGCCTCCGTCCTCTGAGAACACCTGGCGTCCAAGGGAACACGTGGACCTCCACGGGAGGGGCAGCCTCGTTCCTACAATTTCCAACCAAGAAAATAAAGCCTGGTTCTTCTCTTTCTCCCATTACATCACAGGATGGCTCTGGGTTAGGAAGGGGTAGGAGGGATCAGGGAGCGGACGTTTAAAAAATGAGACAAGTCCCTGGATATCTCTTCCTGTGGCCCTTGCCTGTGATCGCACCCTCAGTAGAGAACAGTGAATATTAACACAGGGAGGAACCTGTGAGATTCTCTGGGGTGTGTGTGTGTGTGTGTGTGTGTGTGTGACTTTTAGTTTGTTTATTAAGCTATAATTTACCTACATTAAAATTCACCGTTTTATATTACAACATTGTTATCAGTTTTGACAAACATATACAATCATATAACCCCCACTGAAAATCAAAATAGGGAATAATTTCATACCCCAAAACGTTCCTGTGCCCCTTTATAGTTAATTCCTTCCCCCTACCCCTCTGTTCCTGGAAGCTGCTGGTTTGTTTTCTGACCCTGTAGTTTTGCCTTTTTTAGAAAGCCACATACAAGCCAGGCACAGTGGCTCACACCTGTAATCCCCGCACTTTGGGAGGCCGAGGTGGGCGGGTCACCTGAGGTCAGGAGTTTGAGGCCAGCCTGGTCAACATGGTGAAACCCCATCTCTACCAAAAATACAAAAATTAGCTCGGCGTGGTGGCAGGCACCTGTAATCCCAGCTACCCAGGAGGCTGAGGCACAAGAATCACTTGAACCCAGGAGGTGGAGGTTACAGTGAGCTGAGATCACACAGTTGCTGGCTGGGCGACAGAGTGAGACTTGTCAAGGAAGGAAGAAAGGAAGGAAGGCAGGGAGGGAGGGAGGGAGGGAACGAATGAACAAGGAGTTATACACTATGTGACCTTAGCCCATCTTCCCTTGCTTAGCTCAGTGCACACTGTTGCATGTCTAGGTAGCACATTGCTCAGCCTTTTGTTCTATCCATAAAGAAACTGAGGCCTATAGTGGGAAGAGCAGAGAGAGTTGGAGGAGCAGAGCTTAGCGTCTAGGTCATGACCACCACCCAGCCCCTCGGGCTGGTGGGACATACTTCTTCACTAAAAAGTCACCTTTTTAAACCCTCAAAATCTGTGAGCCCGTTTGAGAAAGCATATGATCATAGAACCCACACATTGAAGAGAATGTATGCTTTCTTCATCTAATAGAAGCTACTTAGAGTCAGCCCTCTGTATCCACAGTTTCCACGGATTCAACAACCATGATGAAAAATATTTTTAAAAATTAAAAAATAACAACAGTAAAAATACAAATTAAAAAACAATATAGCATTAAAATGATTTACACAGCATTTACATTGTATTAAGTATTATAAGCAATCTAGAGATAATGTAAAGTATATAGGAGGATGTGCTTTGGTTACAGACAAATACTACACCATTTTATAAAAGGGACTTGAGCCTCCTCAGATTTTGGTATCCGTGGGAAAAGGGGACAGTCCTGGAACCAACCCCCTAATGAATATTGAGGGACAACTGTACTAGGAAACAAAGGGAAGTAATGGTACTTATCAGAGTGGGAAATGGAACTATAAAGGGGCACAAAGGGGTAATGGAATTATTCTCTGTCTTGATTTTTGGTAGTGGTTACATGATAGTATAAGCAATAGTGAATATCAGAGTGAGGCGTTATCTATTCAGTTAGTAGGCAGTGCTTGGTGCAACTCCAGGTTGACCGGCTCCTACCAATTACTCTGGAGTTCTCCCATGCCTTCTCCAAATAGATTAGCACAGATTTAGAAAAGTGATAAAAGCTAACTGTAAACACAGTGCTGGAACAGACCCCAGGGACATGGGGATCCAGGGTAGAGTGAGATAGCCATGAAAACCAGGTCAACTGGAGGAGATGACCCAGGGGTCCCCTCAGCGAGAGATCTAAATATTCACAAGTTCCAAATAATTGGAGTTTTGCTAAGCAGCATTATGAACTCATGAATTTAAATATATTAAATATATTTTGATCCATTGCATTTATTGTCCTTATTGACGTCCAAAGTGTCCCATCTTTGGCCAGTGAGAACCTGAGTCTTTAGACATGACCTTGATAATCTTTGGGAATTTCATTGCTATCTGGTATGACAGCATAATCCAGACATATCTTGTACATTTCCTCTCCCATACCTAAGTTTCAAGTAAGTGAAAGTCTATGAATGCTTAGCTATAAAATTAGAGGGTCCTGTGATGGACTTTTCCTATGTAAACTGAATCCCCCATGCCTCCAGATTATTAGAATTGAAAATTCCTTTAACAATCAACCAACCCAGAGCCTTCATTCTACAGAACGGGAAACAGAGGCCCAGAAACATCCAGTGACTTACATAAGATTATACAGGCTTATGGCAGGGCAAGGATTAAAGACTAGGGTCCCTGACTCCTGGTCTTATGCTTACCATGGTCTTTACTCTCCTTGAAATGTCCTTAGCCCATCTAGTCAGATACTTCCACTGACGCCACACCCAGCCTTGCTGTGTGTGCTGAAAGGTGGGCATAAAAAGTAGAAATATCCTGATTTCAAAACTCATGACAAGGCTACAGTAATCAAGACAGGACAGTACTGGTAAGAGGAGAGACATATAGATAGATGGAAAAGAATTGAGAGTCTAGAAATAAACCCATGCGTTTATAGCCAACTGATTTTTAACAAGAGTGTCAAAACAATTCAATAGGGGAAAGAATCATCTTTTCAACAAACGGTGCTGGAATAACTAAATGAAACAGAAGTAGAAAAATGAAATTTGATTCCCTACCTCACACCTTATACAAAAGTTAACTGAAAATGGATAGAAGAGCTAATACTATCACACTGTTAGAAGAAAACATAGAAGTAAATCTTCACGATCTTGGATTGGGCAATGGTTTCTTAGGTAAAACACTAAAAATGAAAACAACAAAAGAAAAAAATAGACAAATTGAACTTTAACAAAATTTTTAAACTGTTGTGGCTCAAAGAACACCATCAATAAAGTGAAAAGATATCCCAGATTGGGAGAAAATATCTGGCTATCAAGGTATTTATATTTAGAATATATATAGAACTTGTAAAATTCAGTAATAAGACAAATAAATAATGCAATTAAATGCTGGGTGAAGGATCTGTACAGATTATTTCTCTAAGGAAGCTACACAAATAACCAACAAGCACAGGAAAGGATGCTGAACATCATTAGCCACTAGGGAAATGCAAATAAATTCCATGATGAGATACCACTTCACAACCACTGGGATGGCTATAATAAAAAAGGCAGATTTTAACAAGTGTCAGAATGTAGAGTTCTGGAATATAAAATGGTGGTAATGTAAAATGCTGCAGCCGCTTTGGAAAACAGTCTGAAATTTCCTCAAAAGCTTAAAAATAGAGTTACTCTATGACCCAGCAATTCCATTCATAGGTATATACCCAGGAGAAATAAAAACATACAGCCATACAAAAATTTGAACACAAGTGTTCATAGCAGCATTATTCATAATAACCAAAAAATGGAAACAATTCAAATGTCTGTCAACTGGTAAATGGGTTAAACAAAATGTGACGTATTCATACCATGGAATATTATTTGGCAATAAAAAGGAATGAAGTATGGATACACATCACAACATGGATGAAACCTGAAAACATTATGCTAAGTGAAAGAAGCCAGTCACAAAAGACTATAGATTGTATGACTCCATTTACAAAGAATGTCCAGAATAGGCAAATTGATAGAGACAGAAAGTAGACTAGTTGTTGCCTAGAGACAACAAGGTGGGGTGGAAATGAAAAATCACTGCTGATGGGTATGGAGTTTCTTTGAGGAGTGATGAAAATGTTCTAAAATTTATTGTAGTGATGTGGAGATTGTGCAAAACTCTGTGGATATACTTAAAATCATTGACTTACATACTTTAAACAAATAAATTGTATGGTATGTGAATTACATTTCAGTAAAGCTGCTAAAAACAAAAACAGAAAAAAAGAAAGAGAAGGTAAGAGGGAAGGAGGGAGGGAGGGAAACAGGAAAGGAGAGGGGGAAGAGAGAAAGAAAAAGAGAGGGAGGGAAGGAGAGAGAAAAAAAGAGCTAGCTACAGATCAGGAAGAATCCAAGCCTGTTTTTCGAAGTCACCAAGAGAACAGGGCTGGTCCTTAGAGAAAGTGAGTGAAGGCAGCCACAAAGGACTTTGAATCCTGCCTAGTGCCAAAGACAGGATCAGGAGATGCCAGGTCATCCCAGAGCGAGTGGTCCATTTCGGCTGTCTCTGCCCACTCTGGAGATTAAAGCCCTTGAGCCCTTCCTTATAGGAAAAAAGGAATTTAATTAGGTAGATTATTGGTCAGCAGCATAAGAGAGCTATTCACACACCCACTTTGTGTCCAATAGAAGCCTTGTTTCCTAAAGCGTTAAGCCCCAGGGACACTTGAGCTCTAAGAAGAAACACCCTGGATGGAGAGTGGGAAGACTTGGGTTCACCACTAGTAGTGTGGCCTTAGGCAGCTGGTAACCCAGTTTATCTGCGGCAAATGTCTTAACAGAAAGAGTCCCAGGCCCCACATCTAGAGATTGCAAATCAGGAAGTTTGAGAAAGACCCCAGGAATCTACATTTTTAACAAGTAATTCTAGATGATTCTGACCCACAGGCAGATGGGAACCACTGAACCAGATGCCCCTGTGTTTCCTTTGAGCTTGAGAACACTAGGATTCTGGGAAGGGGGTCAAATTGAAGTCCAGAATAGATAAATATCTCCTATTCACTTCTTCTCCAACCAAAGATGCCCACTTCTATCTACCCCAGTCTGTGAGCTGTGGCCTGACTGCGGCCAGAATTTCTCTAAGCCAGCTCCAACCCCTTCTGCTGGCTTTCTGCTTGCCACCCTCACAAAGCTGTTCTGCAGCAACCAATCCTGGGTTCTCTTCCCGGGAGGGAGGCCCTCACTTAGGGGTTAAGAAAGCTGCATATACACACACATGCACGTGCACACACACGCACGACTGTGAGCTGATCTATTGAGTGAAATGCTCCTATTCATGCAAGACTTTGCCAAGGTGAACTCACTGAGCCCTCAGATAAATGCATCAAGCCAGAAACAAAGGGAAAACATTGGGAGCAAACCAAAAGATAAATTACAAATTGGATTAGTGGATCTTCCTCTCGCTCTACTGCGGAAGCATGCTATTAGCTATCCAGACATGCCCAGTGGTTTGGAATACCCACACACACATACAACATCCACAATGCCCCTCCCCGGTCAGGCACAAAGCAGAGGTGACCTTGACACTTCTCACTCCTAAGCCTTTAGCACTCAGACTCATGGCTGCTCTCAGGATTCTGAGCTTTGGGCAGGAAAAAACAAACTTTCTCTTTGGCTCTCTCCCAGGGTGCCAGCTGGTGAGCCCACAGAACTTCTGCCAGTTCACTCACACAGTGTTCTGTGACTTTCCCCAGTCCCTGCTGCCTCCTCCCGCCCCCTCCACGGCCCAGCCTCATGTTATGGCAGAATAGGAGTGACCACCCCAGCAACTGGCATTGCAAAGAGGAAGGCAGGAGTGTGTCTCCTCCCAGAAAAAAAGATAGTTAAGAGTGAGGCCGGGCTGCCCTGATAATGACCCAGGGGGAAGATCTGATGGAAGGTATATCTGAGGACATTTAAGTCTATGAGCGCTTATTGAGATTGGCCACGTGGCAGGTGTTATGCCACCTACTAAGCTCAGAGAGTTGAGTGAAAGTGGTTCTTGTCCTCGAAGACCACACCTTCTAGTAGAAGATACAGATACGTAACCAACCTACTGTGATGCGAGTAAGAGGGGCATAGGAACAAATAGAATGCACATGGCAAAGGGAAACTCATTTGCCCTAGGAGGAAGTGGGGAAGGAGGTAGCATGAAAAGCCCCCACCTGCTGAGGGTGCAGTGGGTGGACTCCATGAGCAGAGTGTGCAGTGTGGGGGACTGGAGTGGGCACAGAGACTGAGAAAGGTCAGACCTAGATACCAATGACAGGTCATGATGGCGCAAACCAGGTTAGGGCCTAGCAGTGAGGGTGCAGAGAGGGAAAGATTTGTGTGATGCTACAGTAGGATGGAAAGCCCCTGGTGACTCAATGAATATGGGGGTTGGAAAGGGAGAGGTGGGTGTTGAGGATTTCAAAGGATTCAAATCAGGGTGGAGAAACTGTGTGGAGCCAGTAGATACCAGAGCTGCTTCCAAAGAGGGTGAGGATACAGCTGGCAGCCTAGGAGTGAGTTATCTGGAAATATAGGCTGTAAGGTAGGTAAATGGTAGGAGGCAGCATTCAGAGTTTATTGTTTCAGAGGTAGAGCAATTGTGAAGTATCTGGGGTGTGCCATGGGGTAGCTGGACTGGAGAGGCATACAAGGGTCATGATGGAGAAGGTGAGGGCCCTGGCAACCAGGGATTGTGTAGGTCATCAGGGAACATTGAGGTTACTCAGAATGACAGCAGAAGGTGGAATGGAGGAAGACCCTTGAAGCTGGGGACAGGTGCCCTTGTCCTGAGGGAATATGGAAATGTGACCTGTAGGTCCATAGGTGAGGGCATTGAGGGTGAGGAGAGGATAGGACAACCAACGTTCCTTCAGAAGGAGATGGGCTCTTGGACAGAGTTCATAGGTTGGTAGCCTGAAGGCAGCAAGGACAGGAAAAGGATGGGCATGCTTCCAGCTCCGTCCAGATTGCCTGCAGAAGGACATCTGGAAGAAACCTTTCTCCACCACCTCCATCAGTTCCGCAAATAACGTATTATATATTTCAAAATAGCTAAAAGAGAAGGTTTTGAATACTCCCACCACAAAGAAATGATACATGTTTGAGGTGATGAGTTTGCAGATTACTCTGATTTGATCATTACACAATGTATACAGGTGTCAAAACATCCATAATGTGCACCATAAATATGTGCAATTATTATGTGTCCATTTAAAATAAAATAAATATATTTTAAAAGCAGTTCCATTTTCAAGCCAGCCTATCTGAGCCCCAGATCGACTTGCTTTCGGCTCCCTGTCCTCGTTCTGGCCTGGCATCCCACCCGTCCTTCCTAAACTGCTCCAAGAATGTCTTCTCAGACGGCCAGAGCCAGAGGCTCCCGTTCCTGTCTTCAGTGGCTATCTTGTAGAACTGCCTCACAAGCAAGACAATCTGAGGCTGCAGCCATTTGGTTTTTCAGTCATTAGACCCTTCCATAGATTCTAGGTGAACTGCCTCACACCAAATTCGCATCTCCTTGAATACAATTGAGGAAAGCTCTCTTGTCACATTTTACTTTCCTTTCCTTGAAAGTACAAATTTTATTCTCCCAGTTTTTCTATATAGGATATTTCCTCCAGGTCCTATAAAACCAGTTTAGACATGTCTCTGTTTGGCCATGTAATGGGGGGATATATTATACCCACATATGGAGTTCCCAGCAACAAAACAAGATTGTATTTTTCTCCTCCCAAAAAGTACATACAGAGTCTTCATTGAATAACATTATCCTATCTGTAGTAGAAATAAAATAAATGATGATAATATGTAGCAAAGGGATCCAGGTTTCCAACACAATGATGTCATTCCTTTCATATACTATTGGCAGCAGACAGATTGCAACACATCTGTAATCTCATAGAATGCTTTCAACACCTTGAAACATAAACCCTTTTCTCTGTTCATTTTAGCTATTTGGAACAGAATTATTTGCAAAAACATCATCAAAATGATTATCTGTTACGATATTGTTTTGTGATAACAGACATGTGATACTTGTTCTTTGAGCCATGCTGTGGTCCCATGATGCAGACAGATTTGGGGAGCTAAAATCTGGCTGTCTTCTTCCTCACTGTCAATCAAGGCTTCTCAGCATGATGGATCCAACTGCCCCTTTCCAGTCTCTCAGTGCTTCTAACCTGCTGCCCACTATATCTTGGCAAGAATTGATGATTTTCAGAGGAGATCCAAAATATTAGTAATATTAATTTACACCAAATTCTGCATCTGGGCTCCAGTTTGACAGTCTAATGCTCTGAGATGCCTTGTGCCTTTCAGGTGAAGTAAACACATGGGCTTTGTAGAAGCATTTGCCTCTGCTCAGAGAACTCCTTCCTTTTATTTCTGGAACATCAGTGCAATCTGTATAGTGAGGCTGCAGGAAGAGGGCCCCAGGCACCTGAAGCTGCACCCCATTTTAGCTACTAAAGTCATCTTCATGCATATCTGCACTGAAGTTCCCAACAGGGGGCTGTAACAGGCAGGTATATTATTTGCCAACAACAATGGAGCCTGAATTGCCTTCATTATAATCAGTAACTCCTGAGTGATACAATGTTACCAATCATTTCTCTTGCCCAGAATTCTCTATTCATAGCCATATGTAATTCATATCTATATGAAGATTTTCTGAGAGAAGAAGTTGAAAGTTTGAAATGTGATCTGCTGAGGATGGCCCACTATGGCTGAATTCCAGACATCAGAGCAAAGAAGAAACAGAGCATTCTCTCGTTTAAACATAGCCAGGGTTCCGCATTCCTGCAGCATTCACCAGCTTAGTGCCGACCATTTACTCTTTCTCTCCCACCTTTTCTACCACTATATTGGGTCCTTTTTACCCCACCTCTGAAAAACACCCATCTTGAGTCCAGTTCCAGTTCTTACCATCACACCTGGGGAATAGCTGAAATGTCACCAGGGAAACATCAAGACACATCTAATTTAAAGGAAGCTGGATTAAGTTTTGTCCATGTACGTAATGAAAATGCCCCTAGTGCTCCAGGTCCACATGCTGCTGGAAGCTCTGCCTACCTATCAGGCAACTCAAGACTGCGTGGTGACTTCCGTGTCCTAAGTCCTTGGAAGGAGTCCAGCACAGCCCTCACAGGAGAAAGCCACTTCTTCATGCCATTGAGCTGCTATCTCCACATCTGAGAGACACAGGAGGAGCAAGATGAGTGGTGCTCTAACCTGAGCCATCGGCCCCAGTAACAGATGGGCTTGTTGCTTTCAAAACCCAGAATACATCTCGCTTTAAACAGAAAAGGAAGATCAGAAGTAAGACTCCTAGCATGAGCTACCTTGAGGCAGAGTGCAGAGGCTGCATGAGTGGCTGGGGAATTGGTCCAGGATAAAAAGCCTTTCCTCTCCCTCCTTGACCTCTAAATGCTCCAGCCCTTAGAGTAAGTGGCTGAAATGAACTGACCTTCCCTGATGCCTGGATTCTCTTTCTTTAACCAAGAATGCAAACAGCCCAATCTACCTGCTCTGACCATTAGAACTTAGATTTCCTCATTTGAAAGATGCTTCTTTTACTAATTTTAGGAAAGGAATGCTCTTAGACTTTTTCTTTGGCTTTGAAGAAACTTCATTATTTTCTGGGACATGTTCACATCCTCCTCCTTCCATAGGACATGCCTCCCTTGATGGCACCCCCTGGGTCCCACCTCCTCACGTAAGAGCCTAGGAGGCAACCTCTAACCCTCCTTCTCCTTCAGCCTCTCTGCCCCACCTGCCATCAAATCCTGTGAAATCTGTGTTCACTCTATCCCTTCCTACTTCCTCTTAGCTGAGGTCCAGAACTTGACCTTCACTATTTGCAATAACTTCCCTGTCCCCAGTCAAAAGCTTCCAGCACTAGAAAAATATATCTGTTTCCTGCTTAAAAACATCTCAGTGGCTCCCTATTCCCATCGAAATTCACTCAGTGCAATTTAACAAACATGAATTGAGCACCGATGATGTGTCAGGCACTGGGGTAGTGTTGAGATGCAAAGGTAAATGAGGCATAGTCTGAGCCCTTCAAGAGTTCACAATGAGACCCGCACACAGCGGGGTATGGCTTCCTAGGAAAAGTGCCAAAGTAAAAGGAACTATAAAAGCATTTTGGAATTCTGGGGGCCAAGAATACTACAGAATACTGGTGATATTTGAGCTAAGGCTTAATGGGTGAGTAGGCATTTGTCAAATGGACACTGATGAAAGGGATGTTGAGGGGTCTTTCAGGGAAAGGAAATGGCTTGGGCGAAGCTGTAACATTATGATCATCTATGGCATTTGGGGAATAAGCAAGTGGGGTGGTATGAGAGCCTGGAGAATGGGACCCAAGATGAGATCAAGTCTGCAATCCTTAGGAAAAAGTATCAACCTGTGTATCAACCGCCTGCATCAGCCTATGCTCCTGTCTCACCTCTAGCTACTCCTTCTACTCTACTCCAGTCCCAAAGTCAGTCAGTCAGTCAGTCTCTGTCTCTCTCTCTCTCTTTTCTCCATGCCTCAGATCTAACTGACTGGGTACTTGATCAATGGCCTATCCTAAGGAGAAGGGATGACTTCAGTGTGACCACCACAAGGAATCGGAGAACAAGGCCAGGTCTTCCATGACCACCACCTGGAAGCCCCTGAATAGTTCAGGGCCTCTAAATGGGTAATCATTGTCCCTGGCCATCACTGTCATGTGCCACACGTACCATCTTTAGTAAAAGACCATCTAAATCAGGCCAGAGCACAGCACTCTATCTTGGCTGCTGCACCAGACAAAAAGCCAGTCAGCCAAATAATAAAGCTTATCAGAATGCATCCCTCTTCCACAGCTCTATCAAGGGGCTATGGAAGAACAGGAAGGGGAGGAAATGTCTAGTCCTATTGTCGTGAGACACTAAAGGGAAGCCTGTGGACCTGTCATCAGGGGCATCTCTCTTGGAGTGAGGCATTCCACAGCCCAGGGATAATGACATCTAGTGAAAATGCCCAGCCCCTCTGAGCATCCTGGGGACTCATCCCTTAGAACGCTGGCTGCTCAACACTCACCAATTTGACATAGGAAACTAGGAATGGACAGCAAAGGGTGTTGGCCCTGATCACAAGGTAATTCATAATCTCACCAGGTAACAGTAGATGAGGCCCAGGAATAGCAACAAGTAAACATGGCAGCATATAATAAGGTGCCCACCTGGAGGCCACTGAAGTAACTAAGATCTTCAGACAGTAAATGTCATGTTAGTGTGGACTGGGGCCATCAGGAAAGGGTTCAAAGAATAGGTGGATGGGGCACGAATTGAATCATAGAGATTGGGTGAGATCTGGACAATAGGAAAGAGGGACAAAGTGCAACCCAGGGGGAATAATATCAGCTTATCAGCTAAGGCACAAATGAGGACACCTAGCCTCTTAAATTGGAAGACACCTTGATGTTCATCCATCCAAATTCTTAGCTACTGCAAAAATCCTTTCAGCACCTTGACCATCCAACCTCTTAATTCAGTGCTGTAAGAGTAAGAGGCACTAATTAATGGAGGGACTGTATGACAGACGCAAATTCCTCTCTGTGCTGCTTCTCCTGGTAGTGACACCTTTCTCCAAGTTGCCAGCATCCTAAATCTTAAAATGTCCTGCCTTGTGACTCAGAGGACACCACTTCCCTAGACCCTGTATCTCAGCAAAAATGTCCCCCCCACCCCGACCCCAGGGCCACAGCTTTGCCCTGCAGGAGAGAAGCAATCAGCTCCCATCCTTGGCATCCATATTCATGGAGAATTGTTCTTGCTCTGACCTGTAGCCCTGAGTGGGAACTGAGGCTGATGGTCCCCAGAAGTGCACTTTAGAAATTAGCCCACAGCCATCTGCCTTTCCTCCAAGTAACTCAGGCCCTGGGAGGAATGCACAGCTGTTTTCACTGCAGTCACAGAGAAGCATGAGATAGGGCAAGGAGAAAGGAAGGTGACACCTTTCAGAGCCAAGGCTGCTCCCAAGAATGTTTGAAGGTTATTAGTATGGTTGTAATCAGGCTATTAGCCAAATGCAGGTGGAGAATGAAGTGGCTTTGAAATTGCTTTTCAGAGAAAGCAGAGCCTGTGTTGGTGTACTATGCATATGATCTCTTTCAAGCAGCTCTTCAGCTTCCTACATGGCCAAGACAGGACTCAGGTCTCCAGCTAACCACAGTCAGAACTATTCACTTACCTGGGCCTCAGGAGTGAGCAGGGTCTGCCAGGAAAAGCCCTGCCTTCAACCTGCTCTGCCTGCCTTATGGGAGCAAGAACAAGGCATGAGCCACCTTCTCATATTGAGTCAGGGTCCAGAGTCCCTGCAAAAGTGGTTGGCTCAGGAACCCTTCTCTTTAGTTCACAGGCAAGTAGCCTCATTCTGCACCCCAGGGTTTGCAGTGTCCAGTGCCCAGTGCCACATGTGACCATCCCATCCCTTTCAGGCTGTCCAAGGGGAATCAATAGCAGTCTCATGTCTAGGGGCAGCCTCTTGAGGACAGAGGGATCCTCAGAGTTCCCAGTGGATGAAGCCCCCTGCCCAGCTCCTTCTAGGCCACTTAGTGGATCTGGGCCTTCTTCTTTAGAGGCTATAGGAAGAGGAAAGTATGTTTCTACCTGCTGCTGCTTGGGGTTCCTTGTCTTACTTCATGGCACCCCATCTATCCATACCTCCAGGGCTCATTTTTTCCCTCATCTGCCTCCATATCCAATCATTTGCAAATTCTATTTTTATATCTTTCAGGCCAACTACATTCCTTCTTCCCCACTGCCACTCAAGTTGATTCCAGCTCCCACCACGACAGCTCAGCAGGGCCTTCTGCATGCAATCCAGCCCTCTTCAATCTATTTTCCACACTGCAGCCAGAATCATCAGAAATTTCAGGTCTGATCCTGTAATGCCTCTGATAAATCCTTCAGTAGCTCTCGTTGCCCTTAGGATGTGTGTCCAAATGCCTCTCTGATCCCTTGCACATGCGTGAACCTAGCTGCTGTCATACTGAAACTACCCCTGGTGTCCCAGTGATTCTTCTGCTCTCACTAGCAGCCTATGCACATGCTGCCACCTTTGCCTAGAATACTTTCCCTTCTCCACCTACAAGACCAAATCCTATTCTTCCTCCAGTACTTGACCCCAAGAGCCTTCTCTCTCTAGAAACCTTCTCTGATTCCTCTTTCCTCCAAACTTGGGATAAGGGTCTGTCTTAGTCTGTTTTGTGTTGCTATAACAGAATACACAGGGCTGCATAATTAACCAATAAAAGAGTTTTATTTAGCTCATGGTTCTGCAGGCTGGAAAGTTCAAGGGCATAGCCCTGGCTTCTGGTGGGAGCTTTCCTGCTGATCACAACATGGCAGATCAAAGGGGAAATGGACACGTATGAAGACACAAAACCCAGAGGTATTTTGGCTTTATATCGACCTACTTTCATGGGAACTAATTTGTTTCCCAGGGAAAACAATCCAGTCTTGCAGAGGGAGAACCCACTACCAGGAGAAAGCACCAAGCCATTCATGAAGGATCTGCCCCCAAGACCTAAACACCTACCACAGGTCCTACCTCCCAATGCCACCATATTGGGGATCAAATTTCAACATGAGCTTCAGTGGAAACAAACCATACGCAAAGCACAGCAGGGTCCCCTTCATGAGCTATTACAGTGTATTAATCCGTAATACCTATCTCCCCCGCCTGCTTGTGGGCTCCTACAGGGCAAGGATGCTGTTGTAGTCAACTTTATATCCCCTGTATCTATTATAACGTGAAACAATAACCATTTCAAAAGTATTAAATGATTAAATTCATGGAAAAAAATGGAAAAGGCTGTAAATTACCCAGTGGGGCAATAGCTTGAGGTGAGCATAACTGAGGATTAGGATGGCAGAATCACACATACAAAATAGATGGCAAAATCACATATGAAAACCAAACATGCAAAACTGAGACATGTTTTCAAATGGAGTACCTGTAGCTCAGGGTTTCCCTTACAGTTTTGGCTGGTGTGTTCCACCCAGACCCATACAATCAAATGTGTTGACTCTTGGTTCTGTGAGTCTTATCACCGACCCAAAGGACAACATCTGTTCATCAGCATGTAGTGTAGCATGACTAGGTATTGGATGAATGACATGGCTATGATGCAATGACTAGGGGAATAATCACACCCTCCACCCTGTCTGGTTCATCATGGTGTGATGATTGATTTTAGGTGTCAACTTGACTGGATTAAGGGAAACCCAGAAAGCTGATTAATCATTATTTCTGGGTATGTCTGTGGGGGTGGTTCCTAAAGAGATTGGCATTTGAATGAGTGGACTGAGTAAAAAAAAAAAAAAATTGCCCTTACTTTTTATGGGGAGATACTGTCTAATCAGCTGAAAGCTCAGGTACAAAAAAAGGGCAGAGGAAGAGCAAATTCATTCTCTTCTGAACTGGGACACTCTTCTCCTCCTTTGGACATCAGAACTCCAGGATCTCCAGCATTCAGACTCTGAGACTTGCACCAGCAGTCCCCCGGGTCTCAGGCCGTCAGCCTCAAACTGAGAGTAACACCACCAGCCCTCCTGCTTCTCAGGCCTTTGGACTTGAATACAGCCATGCTACTAGGTCCCCTTGTTCTCCAGCTCTCAGAAAACCTGTCATGGGACTCCTTGGCCTCCATAATGGTATAAGCCAATTCCCCTAATAAATCCTCTCTCATATATCTATATCTAGATCTGGATCAATGATAGCTAGCTAGATAGCTGGATAGATAGATGATAGACGGATGACAGATCCTATTGGTTCTGTTTCTCTGGAGAATCTTGACTAGCACACATAAGAACATTGCTGTGTCAATATGTACTTTGGGCTGGAGCAAAATAATCTTTGACACATTTGTCCACTCTCCCAGAGTGTTGATCTCAGCGTAGATCAATGGGAGTGATGCAAGAACACAGTCTTCTGAGCTGGTGTTTGCTGGTTCCATGAAGAAGAGAAGGGAGACTGATTAAATCACAACCAAGTCACAAAGTGGAAATTGCTTCCCTCTGGCTCAGCCTTCTTCTTGGGCCAGCTTTTCTGCCAATCCTTCTTGATGCCCCAGGCCTCACGGGGTCTCTTTTATAAGCTGGCAGATGTGTTCAATGCAATGCTGGCAAAATGTCATACAGGTGGCCACCCATATGGTGCCAGTTTGGATCTGACTCCTGGAAAAAATTCTGGAAGCCCACTCAGCCATGGAGGACACCCGCCGGCTTCCTGCACTGGGTCCAGAGCTGTCTGCTCATGGGGACACAGGTGGGAAGCAGGTGTTTCACATAAATGGACCACCCTCTGCTAATCACCACCAATCAAGCCAGTGGTGCAGGAGAAAACAAAATGAGAAAGAATCATCATCCAAGAGGTGAAATGAACTGGTGGCCAAGGAAGCAGGGGGTGCATCTGGATTTCCATAACATAAATGGTCATATTTCAGGCAGGCTTTTCTTTAGAGCAAGCCAGAAACTCAGAGACAGGAAATGTGGGTGTCAGATTTCATTCCAGTGGGTACACTGTCTGGGGTGTTCAATTTAATAAATTCAATCTAATAAAGACCCACAATAGCCAAATCACAGATTCACTTAGCCAGTCATTCAATGTATATTGAACACCCATGTGCCAGGCATCACTCTGGGAGCTGGGGACAGACAGAATGGTGAACAATTTTCACAAGACCTCCCTTTTTACAGATTTATATTTCAGTCAGGGGAAGACAGAGAGATAAACACATAGGAAAATGTCAGGTAGTAATAAGTGCTATGCAGAAAAGTAAAAATGGGTGATGTGATAGGGACTGGATGGCTACTTTAGATTGGGTGGTCAAGGAAGTCCTCTCCGAAAAGCTGACATTTGAAGCTGAATGACAATCTGAATGACAAGGAGGGACCAGATAACCATGCAGGGGTTGGGAGAAGAGCCAGTGAAAAGGCCCAAGGTGAGACAGGTTGATGCTCAAAGGCAGTTGGGGATGGCAGCATCCTGACAGAGGGTGATCCTACAGAGAGTAAAGCGCCAGCCTCTGCCATGGGATGAAGGCATCACCACCTGCAGCTGAGAGAGACTGGGGAAGACAGGGATTGACAGTGACTAGCTCAACAACATTTACCATTAGGATGCTTAGAATTATCAGAAGGATTCACACCAGGACTATGCTTAATATTGGATCATGGAGTCAGGTAGGAAAGCCAGGTTTTTGGAAGTTGGGGGGATTGAGTCAAGGCTAAAAATGAAGCAGGCAAGTATAAGAGAGGCTAGAGCTGAGCTGTGTCTGGAGGATTGCATTGAACCAAGCCCAGGGTTAGCAGGGCTAGAGGCCATAATAACCCAATGGACCAGAAACCCAACATGCAGTCAGGAGCTAGATGCAAAGAAAAAGACCAAGAGACCCAAGCATTATGTCGTCTTCATTTCCAAAAAAAAATGATATGTGCTTCTGATTGGAATAAAGGCCAATTTAAGACAACCAACCTGAGAATACTAACGACTCCCAAATCTATACTTTCAGTCTACACATTTCTCTTGAACTTTAGTCTCAACTCTCTGAAAGTCTCAGGAAGTCCAAACTCAACTTTTCTAAAGTTGAACTCACAATCTCCCTCCCATTCACTCCAAATTACCTCCTCTTTCTCTATTCCACAAATCAGTGAATGACAACACCATCTACAGACTTCTCAAGCCAGGAGGATAGACATTGCAGGCATGAGTTTCCTGAGGAGCAGACTCTGAGATGGATATTAACATAATGAGGTGTATTAGAAAGAGCTCTTCACATCCCACCTGTGGAAGGGAAGGGAAAAAAGCAGGTTGGAAAGAAGAGGAAGTTGAGCTGCAACAAAGTCTCAACCAAGGCCTCATCCAAGCCCTCTGGGAGATTTGAAGCAGGGATGGCCCTTCAAAGTTGTCTTGAGTTGGGTTGAGAAGTCTGGAAAATAGCTTTTACACCCAAATGTTGACCAGTCATTGGATGTGGGCTGTCCAGGAAGGCAGTGTGATCTTGGACAAGATGGCTGTCTTCAGCCAAGGGCAATTCTCCCAGGAGCTAGAGGAATAAGTCCTTTGGTCTTGAAGAGTTCTGGGTAGCACGTCAAAACCTCCACTCAATCATCCTTAACTTCTTTTCCCTTTGTATCATCCTGATTATCCCATGAGGGATGAGTGCTGAGGGGCTACCTTCTATACACTTCTCCTATCCATCCTGTTCTCTCCTTCCAATATTGCCACTGGTTCAGGTCTCAAAACTTCTCACCTGGATAGAGTCTTCAATCTGCTCTCTCTGGTCCTCTCCAGTCTATACTCCATATGACTGTCAGAATTATCTTTCGAAGACACAATTGGAACATAGTACTCTACCATTTAAAACTCTTCCTTGGCTGTCTTCAGAATAAAATCTGAATTCCCCTCTAGATAAAATCTGAATTTCAGATCACAGAGTTACAGATCCTTCATGGCCTGGCTCCCACTGACTCCTCTGTCCTGATCTATCCCCACTCCTATCTCTGGACTCAGCCTTTTTGCAGAGCTTAGTGTTCCCTGATTGCTATGGCTTGGATATGGTCTGTTTGGCCTCACCAAGTCTCATGTTGAAATTTGATCCCCAGTGTTGGTGGAGGTACGGCATGGTGGCCGGTGTTTGGGTTGTAGGAGTGAAGCCCTTATCAATGGCTTGTTACCATTCCCACGGGTTTGAGTTAGCTCTCACTCTTAGTTCTTGAGAAAACTGGTTGCTGAAAAATGCTTGGTGCCTCCTCCTCTCTCTCGTGCTTCCTCTCCTTCCCCTTCCACCATGGGTGGAAGCAGCCTCAAGTTCTTGCCAGAAGCAGATGCTGGTGTCATGCTTCTTGTACAGCCCACAGAACCACAGGCCAAATAAACCTCTTTTCTTTATAAATTATCCAGCTTCAGGGATTTCTTTATAGCAATGTGAATGGAGTAAGATACTGATCCTTTCGACACAGGGCACTTTGGTCAGAAAGGCCTCTTTAATCTCCACCCTCTCTGACCTTTCGTGCAGAGCTTACTCTCTCCTGAAACAATATACCCAACACAACCCATCCCTACTTCATCCCGAAACATCTTGGTCTGCAGCATCTCAAATGGCCTGATGCCTTGTCTGCCTTACCCATGAGACAGCAAGATTCTTGAGAACAGAGACAGTATCTTATTCTTTTTAATATTCCTAAATACTACTTTGCAGGGCCTGGTGCATAATAGCTGCTCAGTAAATATTTGATGAGTCAATCAGTCAACCAACGAGAATAAGAGGCATTAGTAATATTACCTGAATATTTAACACTAAAACAAGATACTCTCATGAACTCATCTACTGAATAGGAACATAATCCCCACAAAGAATGGACAGATTGAATCATCATACCAGGGCAACAGCCCCCAGAGTGTGTTAGGACTGTGTCCAGCCATAACAGCCTTTTGTCTCCAAGCATGGTTTTCACCTATACTTTGGGTCAGCCACGTCTCTGTGTTTCTGGTAGCTGATGGGACATGTCCATGAATGCCCACGATGGCTCATCTAACTCATGCCAAGCCCCTCTAGCATGCCTTCCTGGACTTAAAGACTGAGAACTGAAAACCACATCCATTTCCAGCCCCCACATGACTTACTCTCCACCAAGCAGACACATCCATGAGAGAACTGGAAAATGGGACTGAGTAGTGTGAGATGGCAGCCATATATGGGGAGATCAGAACTGGTAACTGAGGTGTTTTGTTGCTGGGGGAAGCTGTGACGGTTCTATCACCTCGCCCCTTGTTTCAGAGACAATGAGGTGGGTCCAGGGGGTCGCAGCAGTGTGTTTCTGCTCTAATAGTCATTGGGCATTTCTCCTGGCCCATTTCCTGATGCAGGTAAAATCCACCCCATAACTTATAATAAATTCCTTTATCCTTAAACTGGCAAATAATTAATATACCCACTTACAAGGAGGCCTGAAGAGTCTCCTTGGAAAGGGTCCAACCTCAGGGGTAGTAGGAGTCAGATGTGATGAACTTAAGCCAGCAGCAAAGCCTCCATGATCAGCAGAAAAATTCTGCCCCTCAGATTCATCCCCTGGCCCAGCCCACATGAGTCCTATCCAAATCTCATTCAGAACAGAACTGTCGGTAAAGTACAAAGAACTGTCTACTAACACTAGGTAAAACCTTGGGGCACAACCCGCCCTGCTTGGCCACCCTGAGGCCCTGCTTGGCCACAGAGAAAGATGGATTCTACTCCACTTTGCTTCACAAATCCTGCAGCTTTGACATCCCAAAAGCTTCCAACAACAGGGAGACATCATCGGCCAGTAAGAGATGGTAGTGCTTGACCAGATGTCTTGGGGAGGCTCCAGAACCTGGGAGCTTCTAGCTAGAGCAGTGGCTGCACCAGAAAGAGGCAGCCCTTTTGGGGAGCTCGGGTACAATTCTCCCTAGGGATTCCCAGGAATATCTGGGCACAGAAACATGTTATGGTATAGATAAAAGACACTACCTAGGGACCCCCATAATATTGGGACGAGCTCTCATCTGGAAGCCTTTGTGAGATAGCCCCCAGGGGTTCCCAGAAATACTTGGGAAGACTTGTTTGTGAGCTCACCTGTGGGAGTACTTGGGAACTATCATAAATATTGTAAAAGGGTCTTTCATTTGTGAGCATATCTGAGACATGCCCTAGAGATTCCCAGAAAGACCTGGGAGGGACTGTCACTCCTGAGCTCGTGAGAGACGCCTCTGAGGACTCCCACCTCCACATGCAGGGACTCATTGTAAGAGTATGAGCTTAAAATATTGGGGGGCCCTTTGCAGGAATTAGATGTTCTGCATCATCAGTTTGAGGCAAATTCTAGTGAAAGTTGAGGATTATAATTCTTGTGACCTTTTTTTGCCCATGGACCTGGGGCATTTATATACTTGTATTAATGCCTGAGAGCCTCACCCCTTCCCCCTTCTGAGTAATGAGCATTATTTAGGTCTGGCAATTCTTTTGTTGAGGTTGCTATCAAAACTTGCTGGCCTGGAGCCATTTTGACCCTGTCTGGTGACCACGCATGTCACTGTTATGCTCCCTTAGGTAACAAAGTTACAGTTGAACTTTCAGAAGGCAAGTTTCTGTTCTTTCTTTCGGGGTACTCCCTCTTTGTTACCCCCTTGTGATTTACAGAAAGAAATGGGAACTTCCACAAACTCGTTGGCCTGGGTGAAGAAAGGAGTGTGCAGGAGAGATGGATGGTCGTGTGCAGGGCCCCTGGGTGTCCCAGGTGCCCCGTCAAGCCAGCAACCCCTCTCTCTGATTGGCTGCCAGCATGCCCCCCCAACTCTGTTCCAACACCAAACACTTCTACCTGCTGCAGCTCCTTCGAAGAGTTGGGAAGCTTGCCTCAGAAATCCATTTGAGAACAAAAGACATGAATAAACCATTCATAGAAGAGGGAAAATAAATGACTGCTGAACACTTGGAAGGATGTCTAACTACACTAATAATTTAAGAAATACAGTTTAAAACCAACTGCCATTTCCACCCATTAAATCAGTGTTTAAAAAAAATAAAATAAAGATATCCAGAGCTAGCAGTTGGAGTGGAAAGTGAGGTTCTCACCTGCTGCTGGGGGCGCTTAAAATTGCTGCAAACTTCAGCTGGGCACCATGGCTCATGCCTGTAATCCCAACACTTTGGGAGGCCAAGGCAGGTATATCACTTGAGCCCAGGAGTTCGAGACCAGCCTGGCCAACATGGTGAAACCCCGTCTCTACAAAAAATACAAATATTAGCTAAGCATGGTGGCACACACCTGTAATCCCAGCTACTCAGGAGGCTGAGGCAGGAGAATCACTTGAACCCAGGAGGCAGAGGTTGCAGTGAGCTGAGATAGCACCACTGCACTCCAACCTGGATGACAGAATGAGACGCTGTCTCAAAAGAAAAAAAAATTGATGTAAATTTCTTGGGAAGCAATATGTCACTATATATATATATCAAAAGCCTTTAAAATGTTCTGCCCTTTGACCTTGTTACTCTGCTTCTGGGAATCTATCCTAAGGAACAAACCAGATTTTTGTGAAAGGATATGCATTATTAGAGCAATCACAAAAATGGAAACATTAATGTCCAAAAAAGATAAAACTATTAAATAATGATACATCTATATGCTATAATGTTAACAAACTCTAAATATCATGTTTCCAAACAAAGTCACTACACAGAGAATTGCTTACCATGCAGTATTGGATGGGGGAAACACAGGGTTCAAAAACACACAAAGGGACTCTCTGACTGAAGACTCAGCTCCAAAATATAAAACAATCTTACAACTAAATAAGAGGATAACCTAATTAAAAAGTGGCAAAAGATTTGAACAGGCACTTCTAAAAAGAAGATAGGCAAATGGCCAGTAACACATGAAAAGATGCTCAACATTAGTAGTCATCAGAGAAATGCAAATTAAACCAATGGGATCCCACTACACACCCACTAGAATGTCTAAAATTAAAAAGGCCAACAATACCAAGCGTTGCAAAGATGTGGAGCAACTAGAACTCTCATTAATTGCTGGTGGGAGTTTAAAGTAGTCCAATGACTTTGGAGAAGAGTTTGGTAAGTTCTCATAACGTGAAACAGCCTCTTACCACATAACCCAGAATCCCATCCTAGGTATTTAACCAAGAAATAAAAATATATGTTCACAAAAAATGCTTGAATATGAATAGGCATCACAGCTTTATTCATAATAGCCTCAAATTTGCAACAACCCAAATGTTCACCGACAGGTGAATGAATAAACAAATTGTGGCTCGTTCATATAGTGGGATGTTACTCGGCAATAACAGAGCAATACAACAACCTAGAAGAATCTCAAAAACGTTACACTGAGGGAAAAAAAGCCAGACATAAAGACGTACCCGTAAGTTCCCTTTATAGGAAATTCTGGAACAGACAAAAATAGTAGTCACCTGGGGCTAGGTGAAGAAGGGGTTGCAGGGGCCAAAATAACTGTAGAGTTGATGGAACAAGATTAAAAAGATAAACGCTTGTTGCTTGCAGCAAAAAGTAACCAGTAAAGGAATTATAACCATTTGCGAGGCGGGGAGAGGAGCCTATAATGAGAGCAGGAAGTCTAGCGGATAAGGTCCAACACTGATAAGCAGGAAATGGCGGTAAACCCACGTCAGGTGGAAAATACAGAAAGACATAACCACCAGAAGAAAAGACCAGAAGGGCTAGAAGCCGCTGTCTCTGAGGATCAGGACTGGGGAAGGGAGAGAGGAGGCAACAGGATTGCTTTTCATCCTAACCCCTCTGTTATTTTTATTAGCTATACCATTTTTATTTACTATGTGCACATATTATTTTACCAAACATTAAAAAATACATTTAAAACAGCTGTGCATGGTGTATGGGTACCAGTATTGTAAAACATATACAAATAAATTCATACAAAAAAAAGACTTGAAGGAAATACAGTCATTGTCTGGGAGAAAGTTTTATAATGCTATTTTGCCCCTTCTTTATACTCATCCTTTTTTCCAAATTTCCTGCAATGGGCATGCATTATTTTTATAAACACGAAAACCCGTTATATAAAGAAGCAAAATTATGTTAAGAAATACATTTTAAATGATATCTGAAATGAAGTGAAGGAAACAAAATTGAATATAAAAGTAAATTCAATTATGTGAAACAACATACATGAAACTAGAGACATTTAAGAAAATATTAACAATAATTATCCCAGAGGTGGAATTATGGCTGATTTTTTTCATCTTATCTTTCCTTTTTTCTAATTTTTTTTCCATAATAACTATGATTAAACCAGGTTTGGCTGGAGAACTAAATTTGATCTCTCTATTGGCTTCAGACCAAAATAATAATGTAATGTCTCCGCGTGGTACCAGGCACCTAGAAAGCCCTCCAGGAACACTTGTGGCATTAAGGGAACTGAATGTAAATGAGGTTTACTGGTGACTGCTTCTAATTGAGCCCGTTCAGCTTCAGTCACTCAATCACAGCATTTACCTGGTGCCTACTGTGTCCAGTGACCTGCACAAGAGACTGTGTGGGTGTTGGCAGCAGAGGATGCAGGTACTCTCACCTTGTTGTGTGGCAGACCAGTTCGCAGAAGAGAATAAACACCCACACATAAAAACAGATGGAAAACATGCCCAGAGAAAACAAATGGATACATCTAGCCTGAAGGGTTGGGTATCCTGTCCTGGCTAGCCTCACCGTGGACATCCTTGGTGGAATCAAGATGGCAGCCCCTTCTCTCTACTCCCTCTTCTCCCGTCTCCTCAATAGCCACTACCCCTTCCGTCATGCTAAAACCAACAGAGGCCCTGGAAAGTCAGTTCAGTTTGTCTCTAGTCCCAGGAGGGGAGAGTCATCCAAAATGTCCAAGACAAAGATGAATAGCAACAAACACCTGGGATTTTTTACCATTTGACCACACTTAACTCCAGGAGGGCTGGGCTTCATCAGTGATTCCATGGGAACAAAGAAGCCAATAAGGAGGAGAAAGGGAAAGAGCACCCTGAGATCCTCTGAAAATGCTAAGGGAAGTCTGAGAAATCACCAGTGTGTTCTCTGGCCACAAGGGTCCATCTCTCCACCATTTGGACAACAGGCAGAGGGAGAAGTCACAAAATTTTCTGATGGTCCAGCCAAATTCACTGGTTCCCAAGAAACTCTCAACAAGAAATACATGGCATGCACATGGGTGCATGCTATGGTCTGTATTTCAAGCATTAGAACATTCCATGGCTGTTCCTATCTCCACCTGCAATTCCATTAAGACCAAAGGAAGTGTAACAAGGTGTTAAGCTGAAGGTTTGCCTGAGAAACCATGACACAATAGACATGACATTCCAATGTGCCAGATGATGCATATTTTCAAGGAAAGAGCTAAAAACTTATTACAGAACTCAAGCTTCTCACCCACACCTACATTGAGGGTATAAAATGGTCTGGCTTTTCAAGATTAAGGGAGAAGATTTGTGAAGAAAATTTATTTGGAAAAAAATTATTGATGTGCTGTGGGCCTCACCCTTTCCAAGAGGGAGAGAGAGAGGTACCTGTCCCTCATCTCAAATCTTGTGAAAGGGACTTCAAGGAGACACTCAGAAAGCCTGGTACATGTCTGCTATGATGGATGGACACAGTGGACTGGCAGGGAGAGATAAGTTGCCTGGCTGCTCCCACTGTGGAAGAAAGATGTTTCTGCAGCCTTAGGACTGCAGACTCTCAGAATGTGGCTGACCTACAAACTCTCAGAATGTGGCTGGGCAGGGATGCCTGAGAGTGTCCCTTGGACCAGTTGTAAGCCAATGGTACAGGGAGGGCAGATGTGGTCACAGTGGGCCCTGTCCAAGAGGGGCCACTTCGAGGGGTGAGCAATCCTCAGCAAAGAAAAGCTGAGATGATTTCCAATTCCTAGGAGTTGTGGGCATGCTGGAGGAGTGGCCATCCTTGACAAGGAAGCTGCAGGAGAGGACAGAAGGAAGGACTCCTAAGGACCCACAACCATGCCCAAGAAAGAATATCAGTTGCCCAGAGGCCATCTTTCCATGCTGCCATTCAAGTAAGGCTTCAGATCTGTGCATCTTAGCTGAACATCCGCTCTGAGCAGAACTATTCATAACTTTGACTCTAAGATTATTTAGACTGATGTTTGCCAAACAAACCTGATCATACGATAGCAAGAAATGCAGCTTTCTATGCCTCATTGCTAAAGATTCTGGTCGTCTATGTTTTTTTGTTTTTTGTTTTGTTTTTTTGAGATGGAGTCTTGCTCTGTTGCCCAGGCTGGAGTACAGCAGTGCGATCTCGGCTCACTGCAACCTCTGCCTCCAGGTTCAAGCAATTCTCCTGCCTCAGCCTCCTGAGTAGCTGAGGTTACAGGCACATGCCACGATGCCCAGCTAATTTTTCTGTATTTTTAGCAGAGATGGAGTTTCACCATATTGGCCAGGCTGGTCTTGAACTCCTGTCCTCAAGTGATCTGTCCGCCTCAGCCTCCCAAAGCGCTGGGATTACAGCCGTGAGCCACCGTGCCCAACAGAAGTCTGTGTTTTTATATCCACTGTATAACTCTTATGATCTGCTATATCTAGAAGACAGAAATCCAATCTAGTGTTTCCCAAACATCTCCAGTGATTTCTTTAAAAAAACAAAAAATTATTGGGCCACCCCACCTCTTCTTAGAATGTCCAGAAGCTGACATGTTCAGGAAGCTGAACCGCCCAGGTGATACTTTTCAACAGCAAAGTGTAGTTCATTTGGTGCACCCCCTCATCCTGTGAGGGGAAACTGAGGGTCATCAGAGGGGTGGGGGGGTGGGGGCGATTTTCCTAAAGCCTCACAATGGGTTGGTGGTGGCAGTGGGACCAGAACCAAGATCTCTTAACTCCCAGGACAGTCATTTCTATCTCCCCGCAAGCCCCAAAAGATAGTGTGGGCTTATGAAACGTCTTTTAATCTTCATAATAGGCAAGTCTTTTATGAGGTAAGTATTTTTGACCCTTACTTTACAGAGGAGCCCAGAGCAGGTAAAGGGCTTCTCCAGGGTCCAACAACTCAAACATAGTGGAGCAAAGATTCAAAGCAGAGCCCTCCTGCCCCACGCTCGCCTTCCACTGCCTCCTCCACCACAGGACCTCTCCCAGTTCCCAGCAGGCGGCCTCATAGAACTCGAACTCACCTGTGGGGAAGCTCGTCCATTTTCCTTTAGTCGTAGACTGCAAAGGAAATAAAAAGCCTAGGTTAAAGTGTTCCCTGGGGCAAACTCCTGCACAAATCTTTAGCTAGCTGATTGCTTCCCCCAGCCTTCTAGAAAGATCTTAACAAGTTCTATTTATATTTAACCTAGAGAGCACCAATTCTCTCCTTCTTTGGGCTCCTGCACCCCTATCATTAGGCTATCACCACTCATACTCTGACTGTGGGCAGAGTGGTAACTGAAAAACTTTTTGCTGGTTACCCGAAAGCCTTGATAACATCGCACCATCTTTCACTGGCTGTGCGAAGAGAAAACCACTTCCTCGCTCTCCTCAACTGCTTGCATATTTAAAAGTTAATTGCCAAACCTCAGTTGTGTTGAATTAATTGCCTCTTCAGCTGACCTCTCTTCCTTTTATTCATGGCGGGAACAAGCAAATGTAACCAGAGTCATCCCGTGCAGAAAAAGTTGCTTTCTCGGGTGAGGGATGCCTCGCAGTATGGACACCATCACAGGGTGACTTGTGAAGGCCACTGCCTTGGACTCAGTCTCTGCCCACACATTTTCCTTTTCATCCTGAAGGCCTAAATTCTTCTAATGTGTCCAGGCCCAGTCCTGTAGCTAGTGGTCATGCTTGAAAGTCATCCAGAAATAGTGCCTGAGTTGCCCTTAACAGCCATATTTTCATAGTCTTTGCTAAGCATGGTGTCTCCCATAAATGATTCATGGGGGACTCTAAGTGCATTTTATTTTCTAATAACCATCTCTCTCTGCCAGTTCATTATAGATGAACTAAGATACGGAAGAGTGGTAAACCCTTATGAAAGATTACCCGCTGTGTGCCCAAAATGACCACCCTGACCTTAGCAATATTAATCCCTAGCCCGATTTTGCTGAATGTGTCATATGCATCCTCAGGTCACTGGAACTAAATACACCGGTTCAGTGTATTTTTCTATCTATATTAAGCAACCCGTATGTGTGGTTTAATCATGAACGTGAATCTTTGTATCCTGGAACTCAAAGGTAAGATGAACTGTCCAAAGATCATCTCATCCACACCCTGCCTCTCCAAAGGCACTGACTAAATCATTCCCAGCAAATTCCTGCAACCTCTTAGTTTAAACAAACAAACAAACAAAAAGCTTAGCCCCAGGAATACAATGCCAAACCTTTTTCTGTAATCTATGTTGGTGCTTAGCAGGTTTTATGAAGGTCCTCATGGTGTTGTGATGGATTTCCTCCCTTTTCTTTAGGGTGAACAGAGAACAGCCCACCAAGTGAATAAGGCTGATTCACCATCAGTAAATCATGAGATGGTGCCTGTGTTTACACTTCTACTCTTCACCAAGGATCTGTTTATTTAATTGATGGCCTCTGCCTTCTTTAAAGGTTACTCTGGTATTTAGCATGGTGTTGAGAGAGCCTGAGAAGTGATAAATTATACTTACATTTACCCTTTTCCACACCACCATCATACGGTTGCAAACCCCTATGGTCTAGACTCCGCCCATTCGCGCTGCTTAAATCACGTACCTCCACGGAAAGCCACAGGTGCCCCCACTCATTGCCAAACTCCTGATTCTGATAGGGCTTGAGCTCTTTAAAACATTCATGTGAGGAGCACTTGAAGGAACCAGGGTTGTATAGCCTAAGAAGACACTCAGGGGAACAGAATACCAGTGTTCTGATTTGCTTAGAATAACCCTGTAGTCATTTTTCTATTGCTGCAGCAACAAATGTAGTGGCTTAAAACAACACAAATTTATTATCTTTCGGTTCTGAGGTTCCGAAGCCCCTAAAGTCAAGGTATCAGGAGGGCTGCATTCCTTTCAGGCTCTAGGGAAAATCCACTTTCTTGCCTTTTCCATTTTCTAGAAGCTGCCCACATTTCTTGGCTTGTCACTCCCTTCCATCTCCAAAGTCAGATCTTTCTCACATCCCATTACCCTGATACTGACTCTTCTGCCTCCTTCTTCCATCATTTAGGAGCCCTTGTGATTATGTTGGACCCACCTGTATAATCCAGGTTAATCTTCCTATCTTAAAGTCAGCTGATTTAGCAACCTTAGTTCCACCTGCAACCTTAATTTCCCCCTCATCATGAAACATCACACGTTCTGAGGATTAGGACATGAACATTTTTGAGGGGCCATGACTACAGCCCCTAATTGGTAGAGTTAGGGCCAGCAGACAGGAGGTACTGAAAGCCCAATTTCAGTCGAGCAAAAAAAGTTCAGGAAATGAAGAACTTGTTAATAGAGCTGCCCAGAGGAAGAATTGACTGCCTTTGAAGATACTTAATCCCTAATTCTTAGAGGGTTTCAGGCACAGGTCAAAGAGCCACTTCATCATAACTAAGTGGTTACTACATGCCAAACACTCTGATAAGCACTCATCGTATCTTACATCTTCAGCTTCATGAGAGTCCTGTTAAACAGAAGTTATTATTTTACAGAGGATAAACAGGATGCTCAGAGAGGCTCAGGTGAGATTCCCAGCTCTGCCTGGTATTAGCTGTATGAACTGAGACAAGTTACTTAACCTCACCAGTCCTCAGGTTCCTTATCTGTAAAACGGGTAGAATAATGAAACCCATCTCAAGAGACAGAGGCCAGGCACGGTGGCTCACGCCTGTAATCCCAACACTTTGGGATGCCAAAGTAGGTAGATAACTGGAGGTCAGGAGTTCGAGACCAGCCTGGCCAACATGGTGAAACCCCTTCTCTACTAAAAATACAAAAATTAGCTGGATGTGGTGGCGTGCACCTGTAATCCCAGGTACTCAGGAGGCTGAGGCAGGAGAATCACTTGAACCCAGGAGGTGGAGGTTGCAGTGAGCCAAGATCGTGCCACTGCACTCCAGCCTGAGTGACAAACTGAGACTCCATCTCAAAAAAAAAGAAAGAGAGAGATAGTTGTGAGGATTAAATGTGATAATAATAGCATCGAATGCATTTGTTTTTGAATATTATAAGAAATATGTTTAGCATGGCATCTGGCTCGTTGTAAAGGCTCAGTAGCTCTCACTGTAATTCAGCCTAGTAGGGTGTAGTGGACTCCTTGGGCATTTGCCCAGCACCTGGAAACCCCCAGGAGCCAGGGCTGTGGGCCTCAGGCAGCCACGTTTCTCCTACGTGTCCCTGACCTCTCGGCCATGACTGGTTGGACCAGACATAAATCTTTTCATTCAAGCTGAATTAATAGATGTTTTGTCCATGTAATTTGGAATCAGGCTCCTGACAGACGTTTTTAAATTGACACATAATAATTGTCCATATTTATGGGTTATATAGTGAGAAGCTTTGATACCTACGATGTACAGTGATTAGATCAGGGTAATCCATCATCTCAAACATTCATCATTTCTTTGTGCTGGGCCCTGACGGACATTGGACTCAGTCTTTGTGTGTTATTTTTCCTGGACTTGGGTGCCGTGGGACATTCATTTTTCACTATGTGCACCGAGGAGCAGAGAAAAATCAGCCCCCAGAGAGAGAGGATGGAGGCGGTTGCCCAGAAAGGAGCTGAGAAGAGAGATGGAGGGAGCCGGCAGCTCTCCACACCCTCCTTTCCTCCCCTCCTGAACCCACCCCATTCCCACTCAAGGGTGTTGAGACACCCTGTGCCCTCCTAAAATGGCCCACTTTCAATTTCGTGGCCTTGAGTGGGTGTCTGTTATTTACAACAAAAATCCCCAGTGCACAGGTGTTCACAAACATTTGCAGACCAACGGAGCTGGAAGGGACCGGCAACCCCTCTCTTCTTTTGCCCCTCAGGGGCATTGTGGGGAGAAGTTAGGGGGCTCTTCCAGATAACACTGAACCATGACAGGCCAGGGCCAGCACCTAGAACCTCCTGGCTGCCGGAGTTGAGCTCTGCCCTCCACCCCTGGCTGTCTCTAAATCTGATTCTTCAGCTCTATTTCCAAGAGTTTGAGAGGTTGACATGACTGAAAGGGGGAGTGGAATTGGGGACTAGGAAGGGTCCCAGGGTCTTGGAAAGATTTCAAAGGAATTTTCTCATTGAGAGACCAAAAAGCCCATTCAAGAGGCTAATTTTGATGCAAGATCTGGAGCTCTTCCAGCAGCACCTGGATCTGCCTGAATGATGCAGGGAGAGAGAAGCCAGGCATCCATTTGCATATATGCAAACAAGGCCTTCCACAGCTGTCCAGAAGCCACCTCTGCTCAAAGCGCCCCACTCGGCGGCTGGGGACCACTTTCATCTGTCTGCGCAGCCTCGGAAGACAGAGAGACAGGCTTGCCACAGCTTCCCACCAAGCTGACAAGGGCACAGGAGTCATCCCAACACCCAAGGGCTGGAGGAGCAAAGAGCTTACACCTCCCCAAAGCTCTGGCAGGAGCAGGCAGCCAGATCTGTGGTCCAGGGTTCTCTTTGGGAGGTCTTCTCTGTGCTATGCCAGCAGGAGAGCCACCACCCTTCTAGGGGGCTTTCTATGTCTCCCTATTCCTGGCCCATTCCTTCTCCCCTTCTAGGACTTCGGTCTCCTCTTCCCTTAGACTGAGCCCATTCTGGGGAGAAGGAAGAGACCAGGCAATCGGTCTGGGCACTGGGAGACCCGGCGCAGCCACAGGATTCTCTATTACCCTAAACAAGTTTGGTCTGGGCATTGGGAGACCCAGTGCAGCCACGGGATTCTCTATTACCCTAAACAAGCTTGGTCTGGGCATTGGGAGACCCGGCGCAGCCACGGGATTCTCTATTACCCTAAGCAAGCCTCCACCTCAGTTCTCCTCTCCCATAAAATTCAGGGGAGGGGAAAGGAGGGCTAGAATTCATACTTTTAGCCAAGAAACTCTTTCCCCAACAAAATTTTAGATGGAACACTACTCAGTAAAAGTGGTGCTGCTCTGGTGGGAACAGCACTGGGTGGGTGTCATCAGCCCCTTGCCCCATCCCGTTCATCGCATGGTGCCCCTGAGGCTCATCACAGCACATTGTGAAAACCACTGAGCTTACTGACTCCTAAGGTTCCTTCCTGCTGCCAGAGTCTGCAATTTCTTTTTTTCTTTTTCTTTTCTTTCCTTTTTTTTTTTTTTTTTTTTTTTTTTTTTTTTTGAGACAGAGTCTTGCTTTGTTGCCCAGGCTGGAGTGCACTGGGGCAATCTTGGCTCACTGCAAGCTCCGCCTCCCGAGTTCACACCATTCTCCTGCCTCAACCTCCCGAGTAGCTGGGACTACAGGAGCCTGCCACCACGCCTGGCTAATTTTTTTTTTTTTTTTTTTTTTGTATTTTTAGTAGAGACGGGGTTTTACCATGTTAGCCAGAATGGTCTCGATCTCCTGACCTCATGATCCGCCCATCTCAGCCTCCCAAAGTGCTGGGATTACAAGCATGAGCCACCGCGCCTGGCCAGAGTCTGCAATTTCAAAACCAGTCACAGCCCCTGATGAGAGCAGGGAGCAGGGAGATAGTGGGGCTGAGGAGGAACTGATAAGATTTTAGTGGTAAGCCCTGAGACCAGCCTCCGAGTCCTGTGGGCTCACACAGGCCTCGGGTTCATGTTCCTGGAACGGCTCTCGGGAAAATTCTGGCAGAAGCCTCAGCTTCCATCCACACCTGTCCTGGCCCCAAGGCCTCAGGGGGACTTCCAGAGCCAGGAGAGCTCCCCTCTGACGGCAGGGAGGGAGGGCCTGCCCCTCCGGTGGGCCCTGGGCCTCCCTCTCTGCCTGTGGTTGTCATTGTGTCATTGTGTGCTTCTCCTTCCCTGTCCTTCCCCCCTCCCTTCTTCTCCTCCTTTCTTTCCCCTGCCACACATACACACACAGAGAGAGTCAACTTGTTACTGCCTTCACTCTCTCCCCCTCTGCCCAGCCCAGCCCCATGGACCCTGGGAAAGTACACGAACAATACCTGGGGAAGGGGATCAGGTATCCTGGCCAGGCACTGGCCTCTACAAAACACACAGATGGCTGCTCCCCAGGCGATTCTGGGCTTTCCTTTCTTGCCCTCCTCCCTCCCTCCCTCCCTCCTCTCTGTCCCCAGCGCTAGGCCAGCTCCCAGCACCCCTACTTCCCTGACGAACATCCTTCTCCTTCCATTTGCCCAGGATGGCAGTGAACTAGCCTGGGACACAGGAAGTCACGCCCCCTCTCTAGGCCTCAGTTTCCTCTTCTGGAAAATGAAGGGTTGCACGATAAGAGGCATTTAAGCTTTGGGGGTGTCATAGATCTCTTTGAGAATCTGAAGGAAGCCAGGCAGACACACACACACACACACACACACACACAATTTTACAGACAAATTCAAGGAGCCCTGAAGCCCAGCCATGGTCTAGAGAAAGGCTACCCAGGGATCTTGTCCATGTTCATGTTCTCAGTCTGGACCCCTGCCGGGCTCCTCCACACCATACCAGCTGCACTTCCTCATTCCCTGGGCCGGAGACACCAAGGGAGTCACAGGAGGGCCAGCCAGGCCAAGCGGCCACCAGCACTGGCCATCCCAGCTTCCCAGCCTCTCCCCTGCCGCATCCCCACCACCAGCATAGGGTCCCTACTCCCCGCACAGCTCCCTGCACCTCCCACTTGACTGTAGCCCTCCCCTGGCTGCTGCAGCTGCGGGAAAGAGGCAAAGATGAAGTGGGGGAAGGAAAGGAGGAGGAGGAGGAGCAGGGAGAGGAAGAGGAGGAGGAGGGGGGAGAGGAGGAGGAGGAGGGGGAGGAGGAAGAGGAGGAGAAGGGGGAAGAGGAGGAGGAGGGGGAGGAGGAGGAAGAAGGGGAGGAAAGGGAATAGGTCCCTCAGTAGACGAGGTACAGACCAAAGGGGCTGCAGCCTCTAGCCCTTCATCCTAACCCGAAAGGGGGCTCAGCCAGTCCCAGGAGGTATGGTCTACAGAGCACTCACTCACACACCCTTAGCATTAACCTTGGCCCAGCCTGGCCAGCCTCCCACCATCATAGCCAGCAGCAGGATCTAAGCGACAGAGCCTGCTCTGAAAGCCAGGGACCTCCTTCACCACCCCCACCCCCGAATCTAACCCACTCAGCACAGCTCCCAACCCTCCCCTGCTCAGGACCCTTCGTGGTGCCCCTGTCACTTCCAGCAGAAACTGCTGCCTCTCCCACTCAAGGTGCTCCAGGTCGGACCTCAGCCCCAGGCACTCCTGCCTCTTCTTCTAAAACTTTCCTGAGGAAATAAGTTCTGCTGTTCTATTGCACAGGAGGGTGACTATAGTTAACAATAACGTATTGTGTATTTCAAAAGAGCTAGAGGAGAAGATTTTGAATGTTCTTAGCACAAAGAAATGATAAATGTTTGAGGTGATGCATTTGCTAATTATCCATGTCAGTCATTACACAACACATACAGGTATCAAAACATCACACTGTATCCCGTAAATATGTACAATTATTGTGTGTCAATTAAAAATAAAATAAAACTCTCCTCCATACTGGCCAGCCTAGACTACTAGCCACATTTTCTTGTCTCCACATAGGTGCCTGACATAATCTCTTTCTTCCTCCCCGCCAACAACCTAAGGTTCAAATTAGCTCAAATGCCACCTCCTCTCTGAAACCTTCCTAGCTTTCTCTCCAGTTGGAAGCACCCTCCCTTCTGAACTCTCATAGCACAGTGTCTGGGGGCGCTTGTGGCCTTTGCCACATTCTCCTCAATTTCCACAGGTAAACTTCATAATCCGAGATGATACTGCTATTACTGGGAGCCTGTTGTGTACCAGATACGGGGCCAAGGGCTTTACCCGCATTGCCTCGTTGAATCTTCCCACAAAGGCAAGATAGAAGATGGCTATAATTCCCTCCATTAAGAGAAAAGGAAAAACAGACAAAGCCACATTTCTCTGACTCCCAAGCCAGGGTACTTTCCTCGGCCCTGTTCTGCCACCTAAGTTTCTTGAGGAAACTTACGTCTTAAGGGTAGGAACTTGTTAACCTTTTATTCTAGGATCAAGTTTTTGTTGCCATATCAGTGATTACATGGTCGACGAGAGGATGGTAGGAGAAGGATGAGAGAGGAAGAACCATACATGCTAGGTACTATACACATGTGACTGTGTTTAATCCTCACGGCAACCCTACAAAGTAGGTGTCATTCTCCCCATTTCTCAGACGAGGAAATTGAGGCTCATGGAGGTTATGTAGCATGGCCGCCACAGGTCATCCAGCCTGTGAGTGGCATTGCCAGCCTTCTCTCAAGGGTTCTCAGGCCCCAAAGCCACCCTCCACCGGCCGACTCACAGTGCGCACCGAGGCAAGGGTGAGCTCTCCTGGTGCCTCTCTCCATTTGGCAAACGGATCACCGAAGGTTAGAGCCCAGTGACTTTTGTAATTAAAAGTATTTTCTTTCCTGACTTCCATTATGTAATTGGAAATGTATTCCCAAGGGCAATAATTTTGGCCTCAAGACATAATTAAAAGCATACAGGAGTGCAATGTATATTTTTAAACGGCATAACTAGAGGAAAGCTAATGATTTTATGGCACAACTGAAGGATCACCCCAGAAGCTGCGTTCCATTCCCCTCCAAAGCTAGATCCACGTTGAGAAAGGCAGTCCTTGATTCTAGTCCCTTAAAATCAAAGGATATCAGAACAAGGATCACTGAGGAAGATAAAGAAAAAGAAAAAAGAAAAAAATCAAAAAAGAAACTAAACAAAGTCAAAGGATATTTATAAACCACCAGTTTTAAGCCCTGGGCTTTTAGGTGTTGTTTGTAAATAGTTTTAATCTGTGAATGCCTGTTTAGGGACTAAATCTAATAATGTATTTTTTTCAGGGCCCTTTATGAGCTCTTTAAGAAGAAAGTTGGCCATTTTGCCCCAGAGAAACATGGAGATCATTTTCATAATTTATTATTTCTTTAAGTGCATAGTGGATTTCCTTTAAGAGGAACACAGGGTGGCCCACTTAGAATAAATCATGATTAATAATGCAGCAAGACTTGAAGGATTTGGGTTTTAAGTGGGCTGTAGTAACCCAACAACAGATGGGTAAAGGCCTAGGGGCCCAGTCCATTCTTAGCCAACAGAACTGCCTTCCTCCCACAGGCGCCAGGGGAGGAGATCTGCTTCTGATTCTGCCAGGGCCATGCCCCAGAGGGAGAAATATCCATGCCTATGAGGCAAACTGTGCTCCACTCCCCACACCACTGGATTTCCTCTTATCCACTCAGTCACCCATTCACACACTCAATCATTCATTCAAGGATCCCTGTATTCATCCACCCATTCTGTTGTTGAATATGATCCAGGCAGTTGGCATTCAACAGTGAACAAGACACAGTGCGTGCCCTCAAAGAGCTAGTCTGATCAGGGAGGCTCTCAAGAAAGCTGACAACGAGCAGGGAGCATCAGGTGCTATATGACAGGGATAGGTAAAACATAGATAAGAGGTTGGAGCCTCAGAAATGTTTGTAGGTGGAGAACGAGTATGTATGCAAGAAAGTTCCTGCTTGGGTGGTTGGGGTGGCATTCTGGAGATTCCAGACAAGAGATCTCCATTCAACCACATTGACAAAAGCAAAAAGATAAGGTTAGAGTGGTTCGTTGTGAGAAATGAGGGAGTGCCTTGTGGGAAATGAGGAATGTAAGAAAACACATAAAAAGGAATCAGACAGAAGTTTAAGGAGTTATCTTTCTGGACACTGCATAGAGGATGGGAGAGAGAGTAATAGTATAGTTTAACAGGATCCAAGAGAGTATAGTTTAACGGGATCCAAGCCCACACATCAAACAAAGTGGAAGACTAGTTGCTGGAAGATCTCAGGCTCTTTTCTCACAGGTTAAAGACTCTGAGCCCCCAACATTGGCTCTTAGCTTCAGAAAATGGCCCTCTGTGTGTCATGTGGCAACTAGGCTCCATGGAAGAGTTTGCCCTAGATCTGAGGTACAGCCTGGGTTGCAGTGTTTAAGACACAGGTCCCAGACAACCTCAGCCCAGCATCCCTAGAATAAACGGAGGCGGGTTTGTTCAAATTGCCCTCTCCACTTGGAAAGCCCATCCCCAATCCCAAATCACTGCTGTCAAAGTCTTATACATTCTTCAAGGTTCTGCTCCAATGCACCTCCTCATGAAGGCCTTCTACAGATGATCTCCCTTCCTGTGTGCCTATGGGACCACATATCTGTGGTTCCATCCTGAGTTAAAGGCAACAATGTACATGCTATACCTCTCAGTTGGCCCGTTGCTTCCACTGGGAAGTTCTAAAGTTGCTGTCAAGTTTTATCCTCCAAGTCTGTAGCCACATGAGACGGTGAGTTGTGTCCATCAAAATGGCTTGGATGACCGCTCTGAACATGCACCTCTGTGGACACAGATGACCCAGGGGTTTGAGGAAAGCAGAAAGGGGAGAGAATAAGAGGGTCTGGGTGCTGGTACGACCCTCCTTAGCTCCTCCCAGCCCCCAGGGAGGCTCTCTGGAATTGTGTTTTCCCTCTCTGTTTTGGGTTGAGCCTGTGTTTAGTCCCTGGCGGGGATGGCATTATTTTCCTCAAGGTTTCAAGGGGGTTGGAGAGCGTTTCATATTTCTCTGTTTGGCAAATAGTCAGTCCCCTGCCTCCCCTCCCAGGAATCAGGAATCCCAGAAATTAAAGCCAGAGGGACTCGGGTTTCTTTCTGAGCGGGGCCACTGCAACAGATGCCAGTTGGGCCCAGGAAATAGCCAGGAGGTGGGGAGCACCAGGTCTTGGGTTTTCTGGGAGGCAAGGGAGGGTACAGCCATGGATAAAATGCCGTGGCACTGTAGAGGGCAGGTTTGGGCTCCCTGTCTGGAGCAGAATAATCTTTCTTTCAAAGCTGAGTTGGAGTGAGCAAGGACCAGCGGCAGCCATTCCACTCCATGCTGTGGGCACGTTTCTCTCTGGGTAAAGGGGAGACAGAGCTTTCCATGCTGGAGAAGGGGATGGGAAGGCGCAAATCCCAGCGAAGGGAAGCAGGCCCAGCCCAGATGCCAGCAGAGAGGGAGCAGGAGCAGGAGGAGGGGATGGGAATGAGCCAGGCTTCAGCACAGAGGCTTGGAGATGGCAGGCGGGCGCTTGCACGCAGAGGAGAGCTGACACCTGGATCTCAGCTTGCTTCCCCCGGAGAACACTTTAATGAGGCTCACAGCTGTAATATCACAGAACGAGCATTAACAATGCTAATTACCTGAAGTTTAGCCCGAACATTCCTAACCCACCCACCTTGGGGACACACTGTTGTTCTGGCCCTGCTAAAAGCGCTGATGGTTCAAAACACGGGCTGAGGCTTACGACGCAGATGTGACAGCAGAACACCAAGACAGGCCGGGCTGGGGACAGGTAGGGTAGTGTGTGCTGCAGGCTGCAGGGATGCCCAGGAATGGACAGAGTGGACCCTCCTGGTCATGATACCAATGTCCCTCTGCTCTTCTTAAGAGTAACCCAAGGGAGAAGCCCCAAGTGGAGATCAGACCCCCTTGGCAAAAGCCGGGAATGGGCTACATCCATTTGTGCATGGCAGAGGGTCATGGGACCGAGGTGACCTCCCATCATCACTCTGCACAACCTCAGAGGACACCCCTGTGCCCTTCCCACCATCTAGCCCCAAAGATGGTTTCAAACTGTTGCGTGTTTTTTGAAGCAGCAGAACCACCAATAGAAGACACAGATCAAATCGGAGCTGTGCTGGTCACTGGTTTGAGTTGAAAGTTGGGGCTCAAGGCTCAAGGACTTTCCTTCCACCCTTGTCCCCCGAGACCTCTGGGCATCCCCAAATCACTCCCAGAATCCTAGGCCTCTGCAAAGTCTGCTTGGAAAACCACTATTCTAGAACAATGTAAACCTCTGGCCTCATCGTGTCTGGTATTAAACCATGCCATTCCAAGGCACTGCATGGAAACACACTTTGCCAGACACCCCAGAAGGCCCCTGACTCAGGCCAACTCTGGGGGCTGGAAGACAGGCATGATCTTTTGGTGCATGTATACCTCGATCTGCATGGCCCCTTCCCCAAACCCGCTAAGTCTAGGGCTGACTTTATAGAAACTCATGCCTGTATCTATAAAGTCAAATGTCACCCAGCCAGATAAGACAAGATCTAGAACTTCTGATTCCTCTCTCAGTAGCCTTTCTGCCAACCCAGGGAGGGGAAACCATATTATATCTCTATCGCAACCCCACCCCTTAGACTCCCACTACTGCCGGGTGTTGAGCCACTCATCAACATCTTATCCCACTGGTCCCTTCTTCCTAGGTCTCGCCACCTCACTCCACCACCATTCCAAGCCTTTTCCTCTCCCCAGGGAAAAAGCAGAGGAAGGCCGTTCTGCTCTGCGTTTGCTTGAACATAACTTGGATCCTTCCACTTTTCCCCGCTGATAGTTTGGATGTGTGTTCCCACCAAATTCCGTGTTGAAATGTGATCCCCAGTGTTGGAGGTGGGGCCTAGTGGGAAGTGTTTGGGTCGTGGGGGTGGATCCCTCATGAACAGCTTTGTGCCCTCCCAGCGGTAGGTAATGACTGAGTTCTTGTTCTATTGGTTCACACTAGAACTGATTGTTAAAAAGAGTCTAGGACCTCCCCCTCTCTGTCTCACTCCTTCCCTCACCATGTGACACACCTGCTCCTCCTCAATTGAAAGCTTCCTGAGGTCCTTACAAGAAGCAGATGTTGGTGCCATGCTTCTTGTATAGCCTGCAGAGCCATGAGCCAAATAATCCTCTTTTCTTTACAAATTACCCATCCTCAGGCATATCCTTTAGTAACACAAAATGGACTAACACCCCCTCCCTCCTCCATCCCTCTGACTCAGGGCAATGTCAGTTTCTGGGCTGCATTATAATAGTTAACTTTCTCAGGTCCAACAGAACATGGCACATCTACTGCCTTCTCAAAAGACCTCTCTCAGAAATTGATGGGATAAAATGTCTTCGTCTGTTTGGGCCCCTATAATAAAGTGCCATAGACTGGGTGGCTTATCAACAATAAGCCAAATTTATTTCTCACAATTCTGGAGACTGGAAAGTCCAAGATCAAGGTGCCAGCAGATTCGGTGTCCAGCAAGGGCCTGCCTCCTCATGGACAGCCACCTTCTCACTCCAACTTCACATGGTGAAGGGGCAAGGGGTCTGTCTTGGGCTTCCTTTATAAGGGCACTAATGCCGTGCATGTGGACTCTGCCCCCCATGACATAATCACCTCCCAAAGTCCCTGCTTCTAATACCATCACCCTGAGGGTGGAGATTTCAACATATGGATTTTGGGGGACATACCATTCATACCATAGCAGACTAGGATGCAATGCCGGGTTCCCTGGGGTTAAAGCAGAAATGTGCACAGCTCTCTGTGCAGATGAAAGGCCTGAATGTGGGTGTCTGTGTAATCGTCTGCTGCCTGGATTTTGTTATATGAGCCTAAGTCCCCCTGATTGCTGAATTTAGCAGTTCAGCATTGCAGGTCCAGCTGTCACTTGAAACTGCTTTGGGTGAAGGCCTGGCCTTTCCCCTCTGGTCCCTGAATGCGAACATCTCTCCCACTGCAGAGATGGCTCGACAACCTGCTCAATGACCCATGTCCGCAGCAACCATCAATGGCTTCTCTGCCGAAATAACGGCCCCACATTATGCTTAGAAAAGCAAAGGCTGAAGGCGCATGGATGACTCATTAAAGAACAGTGCAGCACTCACTTAGGGGAGGAATAAAAAGTGACATGGTGTCTTCCCACTGCCATGCCCACCTGTGTCTTACCAAAATGCACAGTAGCTTCCAACTAAAACCACGCTGACTGATCGAGACCAGGGAGCTCATGTTCTAGTTCCCTCAATTTCCCCCTTGACCCCGTTCATCACATGTTGTACTATTACCTGTCTGGTGCCTGCCTCCTTGGCAAGATTGTGAGCCTCATGAGAGGTAGAGCTTTGTCTTCTCTGCTGTAGCCCCAGTACCTAGCATAGAGTAGAGGCCTTTATTTATCTATCTAAAATTTATTTTTGGGAGACTGACTCTTAACTTGCAGCCTCAGGAAACCAATTCCCGCATGGACCAGGAGTCCTATACCCACAGGCTGTTGCTTTAAGGCCATTGCTAAGCAGACTCTAGAGACTCTAGGGGCAGATGTGTCCTCTGTGATACCTCTTGCTCCTTGCCCAGGGCAGCCAACTCACTGCCTTCATGGAAGGCAGCTGAGAGAAAAGAAGCAATGACTCAGCTGGCTTCTAGATGGGTCCTGCACCAGAGGTCTCTCTCTCTCCCCAACCATATTCCCCCACCTCTCCTGTGAGTCATCTCTGATTCATCAACCTCCCTTCTCCTAGAAAATCTAGGGGGCTCCTTTCAGGATGCCCTAGGAGCTTCTCTGAGGGGTCTCCAGAAAAGGAGCTGCTCTACTCCTGCAGATGAAGCTCTCAGTTAAGGCCTGAAGCTATGCTGCCCACTGTGCCCATGAAAGCTGTCACGGTGACTGTGGCTTCCCTGGTGCTATGTATGACGTGGCCAGAAGCTCATCACCAGGCAGCAACTGAGACCTGGAATTTGTTGCTCCTGGAGTCTCCCTGCAACCATGAAAGCACTAGTGTTTCTCTGGAGCCTGATGCACACGCATGCGTGTTTCTCTCTCTCCCTCTCTCTCTTTCTCTCTCTCTTACACAATGCAGTCCTACTGCACACCCCAACATGAAAGGGCTCTACCCCCACAGGATCTCTACATTTGCAAGTGAGGTCCTAACTATCCGTAGGGAAAATAAGAGTTTCCAAGAGTTTTAAAGCCTTTTATTTGTTTACACATTCTCTAAATTGCAGACAAAAGATTCACTACGTGGGTAGTCAACATTGCTAACCAATCACAGAACAAGATACTAACCACAGCAAGGAAGGGGTAGGGGCTTGTGACTCAGTCTTTGAGAACGTGCGAGCATTCCATGGGATATCGAGGGGTCCCAAAGAAGAAGGCTGCTCGATCCCCACATTCTTCATCTCATCAGCGACAGGTCTCCCTCCCAGAACCCCATCAGGACAGGAGAAAAGGCAGCAAGAGAGGTGGGGTGGTCCTGGCACGTGGGCCACCAGTCTTCTGAATGAAGAGTGAGTCCCGGGTCAGGAGTCCACATCAGGTGTGGGCTGCTTCCAATCTGTAGGTTCTCCTGGAGATTGTCACAATCTGCCAGCTCTCTGGGAATCACAGAACCATCATGTCCCCTTAGGATGGCAGAAGATGTGGCACAGCCTCAATCTCCAACACTGAAACACTGAGAGAGCTTGATACGTTCCTTAGGCAGGGCAGAAACATCACAGCACTTCACGTTAGGAACCACGAAAGAGTGGGAACCTGACACACGTGGGAAGGGCACATCCCCAGAGGACAGAGGACAAGGGTGGCACACACACCTACAGAGACCGCAACCACATCACAGTGAAGGAGGAGGACAGCTAACGGGGTGGGAGGTGGGAGCTTTTTGTTTGTCTGTTGCTGTCGTTGCTTTTTAGAGAAGCCAGGGTGGGCCAAATGGAGATATTGTCTCAAGACCATTACACACAGCTTCCCAAATCTGTAGCCCTTTTCTGTAACCTCATGAAAGCTGTGTCAGACTCAGTCCTGGTCTGAAGTACCAAAGCAGCCCAAGGCAAAACCTCATCTGCAAGAGGCAATGCGGCGTTGGGTCCCAAGGATCAGTGGGGAGGGTGTTCAAAAGAGCAAAAAGGGAAACCCTCTTTCATAGGCATTTCTCTCACTGGAGACCCACTCTCTTGGTCATTCCTTTATGACTGAGAGTCTCAGAAGGAGTTGTGAGTGTGAGGTAAAAGAGACAAGCAAGCATTTTGGAATGATGGGGATAAAATGTTGCAGTGGCTTCCCTCTCTGGTGCCCATACCTGGAAGAAGCAATCCCAGGTTTGCTTCGTATCTGCAGGTCTAGAGACATCAATGGAGGCAGCAATTGGAGATCTCAGTGTGTTTCCAGGGTCTCTGACTCAACTAGAGGGCATCCAAGGCCTGGTGGAGCCTGTGCAGGCCTGAGCTTCCTCGTGGAGCAGCAGGTAGGCAGCTCATTCCCAGGGACCTGGTCATCCTTCCTACCATAGGAGCCACCTGCCAAAGCCCACCCAGAGGAATCCCAGCGTTCACAAATGGAGGCGCCCTCACCAAAGCCACTGGACCAGCCTGTCCCTGAGAAGAGACACAGAGGGGCTTCAGCAATGAGAAGAAGAAAACCAATTTCTTTTGGCTTCTTAGCAGAGATGCTCCATGTCTTGGCTGTCAGAGAAATTGAGCTTACAAATTGCCCTCACCCTGAACCCACTTGGCAACGGGGAGATGACCTGGTTGAGGTCTAGTTCTGGCTTTTGTGAATCGACCGTGTGACGTAGACAGCACAGCATCAGGCCAGGAAGGCGCCTGATGAGACCGTGTTCTCAGCCTGAGAGCGCGCTCAAGGGCAGGTGGGAGATGGAGCCTTCTCAGAGCTCAGCCACTGGCTCTTGGGCTCCCAGGTTCATCCCTCAAGGAGCTGGGGACCTGAGGGCTCAGGGCCCACCACTGGCTGCCTGGGGGAAGTGCTGCCAGTCTGGTGTGGAAAGGGTCCAAGTCAGAGGCCTTTGCCTCACCCCTTCCACCAGCAGGGCCATTCAGAGAAGTCTTGGCTCAAAAGAACGTTGCCCACAGGCTTTCAAGTAGGTGAGTGGACCAAACCCCTGCATGCTTTTCAGGCTGTCACGCACTTTAAAACCAGACTCACAGCCAAGCCTTGTGTCCCTGACTACCTCCACAGAGATCACCAGAATTCTCCTCACTGGGAGTCATGTGCCATCCAGGGCCCCAGAGGAGCCTTCCCTTGGGCCACCCCCCACAGAGAAGCTATAGCTCTGAGCCAACATCCACACATGGACAGATACACACCTTCCCCCAAGCCCAGGCATTTTGCTTGAAAGCAAGGTTGGTGTGGCTTCTTCAGGGAATAACTCAAAGCTGAAATCTGGCTGTGACACGTGTGGAGAAAAGGAAAGATGAAACAAACGGTTTATTCCTAATGCTGTCAACACAAACAACTGAGAGTCTAAGCCAGCACGAAGCTAGGATCTGACAAGCACCTGGCCAAAGGTGAGCATGGAAGGTTTGCTGAAAACCTCTCTGATGCTGGGTTTCATCCCTGCACACACCAGCAGTGCCAGATACAGGCGTGGGGCAGCTGACCTTGCTGGGGTCTGGTGGAGTGTGCCCAATCTGTACTTGAAGCCCCCACCCCCCCAGTCCCGCTCTCTGCTTTCTCTAGCAGGGAAAAGACCACTGTGGGGGTCATTTTCTGCCTCTGATCAGGCCCTGCCAGTTGCACCTCCCTGCCTTCCACCCCAGAAACCCACAAGCAGCTCTGGGGACACTGGCTGCCCAACACACTCCAGGCCAGGTGACTTCATCAGTTCACCAGTTTTAATGCTGAGGATGCTGTCATCCAAGGGCATCCAGTGCTTGGAAAAGCAGATTAAAGCAACTAGGCTGAGGTCATCTGTTTTCTTCCCCCGACCCCTCAGCCTCCACAGGGTAGAAATCACTGGATGCCTCCACCTGCTTGTCTTCTACTGAGGAACACGCATCCTCAACAGAGAAACCTACATATACTTACACCTTCCGTGATGGCGCGATACTTGACCTACAATCACGATTGCTTGGCAGAGCTTAATTTCATGGCTGAAAAGCAACTTGAAGGCTAGGCCAGCATGCGGTTTATTTTCCAGCCCCTACAGGACCTAGAGCATTGCCTCGCACACAGTCGATGCCCTGCCAAGGGTTTTAATTTAGCCAGTAACAGCCTGCCCTGCAATGATTCATGGCAGGCAAAAGATGGGTTCATTTTCCTTCAGAGGAAAAACCCCCAGGGTGGACAACCATGGCAGATGAGTGGGGGGCAGCTTGGATGGACTCTGTTCCCTTTCCTGGCCAGAGGAGCACAAATGCCCCCTAAGCATCTGACCATTCATTGCAAAAGCATGACCCATCTGCTTTCCCAAATGCCATGTGGACCAGACGCATTGGTGAGCCAGGGACGCCCTGCCTACCTACCCCGCCTCTCTCCAGCCACCTGCTCCCCACCTCCTCTGCTCTGAGATAATCATTCTATATTTTCATGCTCTTGCTCACATATCAGGCAGTGTTTCTGTCCTTTTTTTTTTTCTAGTACCTAATTTAGGCTTCTTCAACTACATGTTGAAAATGTGCACGGGGTATATTTTCTTTTTCCTATACGCCACTGTTGCTTCCCACTTCCCACCTCCACCCCACTCCTTAGCATCTATCACGGCAGAGGGAAGGGAGGAAACAGTGCAGGGAAGGGAGAGGGCAGGAGGAGAATCAGGGTCTCAGTGGGGAGTAGACATGGAAGGGCAAACCAAGTCCGTATAAACCACAAACCCCATTCTAGCCATAAAAGCTTTGCATCCCTTTGATAGCAGAATTGAGACTTTTGAAGTACCCAACTATTGCCAAATATCTTTCATGAAAAGAAGCATAGGTGAACGAAGGGAAGAGAAGGAGAGAGGTCGCGGAGCCAGTAGCTTTCCAAGCACAAGGCTCCCTTTGCAACCCTGGTGGCTGTGCAGAGGCTGAGAGCTGGAGGAGCAGGACTGGAGAAGACTTCAGGAAAGATGCACCTTGCCTGGCAGCCCCTGGCTCTCCCTCTTGTCCTGGAGCAACATCAAAGTTTCCCTTTGGTTCATTAAGTAGGGCGTGTGTGTGTGTGTGTGTGTGTGTGTGTGTGTGTGTGTATGTGCGTGCGTGCACGCACGCGCATGCACATGGGCATTCCTGTTCTCATCATCAATATTCATAACATTGAAATGAAGAACAGAGATGCAGAGAGGCGAGCAAATGAGCAAATGGGATGCAGTGAGTGAAAATATAACCTGGGAGTCTGTAGGGTTGTGTTGCTGAGGGAATATATAGGCCCCAGGGGCTCACAGGCCTCTGCCATTTCCTACAAGGCCCACTTACCTGCCCTCCCGTCCCCACCATGGCCGCGTTTATTTGCTAGACAGGGTTGGTGCCAGCCTACAGGGCCATTTTGCTCAATGCCTGGGCTAGAGGTCATGATAAGTAATTATATCTCTGTCCAAGAGGGTTCTGGCTGCCTGCCAGTCCTGGTTCCTGCCTTCCTCTGGCCTGCCCTGGGAAATGTCGCCATCAGCAAAATACTCCCTTCTCCTGGTGGAGCCAAAGAAGGGGAACTGTGGAAGGTCCCTCTCTCAAGGCCACCTGCCCTATGACCTGAGGTTGGCACTGGAGCAGAGAAAGGGAAGGAGTGGGGACAGAAGCTGGAACAAAGGGCCCTGGGGAGTCACCTCAGGACCCCCTCACAGCCAGGGCTCACTCAGAACCCAGAGAGAGCCTGTTCCCAGGAACCCACTCACTTCCAAATCTTTCCCCTCATGCAGGGAGTTCCCTGTTCCTTCTAGAAAACCCATGGTACGGAACTGGCAAGCCCGGACCCCTCCTCCTCAGAGTTTCCTGACAGCTCTTCCTTTGGGCCTCTCTTCTAGCTGCCTGGGCTGCGCACATGGAGGGGGCGCCCGCCGCACAGCCAGGCCTCCCCGGGGACAGCTGCTGAGAGGCTCTAAGGCAGTTCCCACTCGCTCTGCCTGGGAGGTTGTCTATCCTCCCACATCCCGGGTGCCCAGCAGGAAGCACCCCCATCTTCCTCTCCCCTCCTTCCCCCTGCCCCACTCTCAGCTGTCCACTCACAGACCAGAGGGTCTCCAGCCTCCCTAGGAAGGGGTTCCCAGCTCTCCAAGACCCACCACCAGCTGCCCAAAGGCCTTGAACCAACCCATCTGTCCCATTGTTTCCACACTCAGGGCTGGTGGCCGTGGCCTCTGGCAGAGAATCATAAGCAGACTCCCAAACCCTGGGAATGCTCAGAAATGGGGGAGGGAGCCCCAACCCCCAGACAGCTATGGAGCCCACCTTCTGACCACGGACCAGTTAGACTCTATGGCAAGCTGGGGTTCAGGTAGGGAGATTCATAGGCCTGAGGCAAATTAAAACAGCTGTTCCCCACCATCACCATCCTTCCCCTTCACCTGGTATCCAAAAGCATACTTTGGGGATGGGAGTAAGATTTCAAAACGGGCAACACACAGCAGGAAGAGGAGGAGCTCTGTCCACTTTGCAGAGGGGAGAGGAGCAGGATGGCCAGTCCCCCTCTTCCCTTCCCAGCTACTGGTGTCCTGGGCTTGGGGGACAGGGGCCTGGGGGCCTGACCCCTCTGGTAGCAGTGCCTGGAAATGCTTCACTCCCCAAGGCTGCAGGCATGATCCAGCCCTCCCTCACTGCCTTCTCTCCCCAGCTGGGTGAGGGGCTTACTTTGCCCTCAGAAGCATCCCTGAAACCCCACACAACCAACGGGCGGCCTCAAGAAAGAGGGAGCTGAATCAGTGTTCAGAACTGGGCAGAGGTTTGGCCTTTTTACAAAATAATAATAATAATAATCTGTTGCCCAGGATCACAAGCCTCAGAAAAAAAAAAAAGAGTTACAATCACTGTTCACTCCCACCTGCTGCCCTCCAGCTCCTTAGCTCGAGGATTTCTCCCTGAGGACATCCAGCTCTCTGCCTTTTTCCACCAGAGATCCTCACCCCTCCCAAATGCCCTCCCACCCTCCCTTCCCCAGGCACCCCTGTCTTTCTCCCTCCCCAGGAATGGAAGCCTGCTAAAAGGGACACCAAGTCACCACTGCTACCAGGAGCCAGGCCTGGGACTTGCGGCATCCTGTGGGAGTGTGAGCGTGGCTCTGGCCAGAGCCAACTTCTCCCTCGGGCTGAGACATGGGGACCCCCTGAAGAGGGGCTAGGAGGGGCAGCCGGGGAGTGAGAGAAGAAGGGGCTGCTTCTGTCCCAGCACTTCCACGACAGGCTAAAAACCAGCCTGGGGGGCAGGGATGTGGTCCTCAGGGCCCGCCCTGGGCCACGGGCGGCGCAACACCCCCTACCTCCTCACACACAGACCCAAAGAGGAGACTATAAGCCCCTCTTCTTTGAGTCCTGAGGCCTGAGGTTGCCAGCAACCTTTCTTCAGCGGCATAAAAGAGCACAGGTCTCCTCCACTTGCCCCGAAAGGAAAAGTAATAACAATCATCTCATTTTTCTTCCTTAAAACATCAAAACTTTTTAAGCGGAGGGTTGAAAGGAAGCGGGCTGTATTCAAAGCACGAATACAAAAATGCACCAGGAGTGTGCAACCCTCCAGGGTATCATGAAACCATCACTGTGAAACCCAAACCCTCCCCCAACTTCAAAACCTGTTCTCTTCCCCAGTTCTGGAGGAATCTGGCCTCCTTCCCTCCCTTCCACCCACCCACAGGCTCTTCCCTGGTTCCAGTCGGCTGGGCTCAGCCTGCCCAGGCTTCCGGCTTCCTACCTCGCCCTGGGGCAGGGACAGGAGCAGGGGAGCCTTGGGACCTGCTGGCTCCTGCTTCAGGGGCGATGAGTCAGTGAGGGGTTCCAAAGGAAAGCCAGAATGTCAATCTCCTAGCAGGAGCCCTGTTTCTATTTCCACATAATGTTGCCTGCACTGGATTTGCTACAGATCCAAAAAGCAGGGTTTCAAAAATGCCTACAGGAAACAGGATTTCCACTTCCGGTTGGGTCTGGCAGCCTCACCTCTCTGGTTTGCTGGAGCCACAGTACAGAGGGGTGAAGCCCAGCAAAGTTCTCCTGGCTGTTCCCAGCATTTGAGCCGGAAGACAACCACATCATTATCTCCATTTGGTGGCCTCTGCAGAAAATGACAATAGCTACCATGGAGTGGGGACCATCATCATGCCAGACCCGGGCCAGGATCTTTACCAATGTCACCTTGAATACCTGCAAAGACCATGCTGGATAGGCCATGTTTCCCCACCTTACAGACATGTGAAATGAGGCTCAGAGAGTTGAAGTCATTGGCCCAAGGTCAGTCAGCTAGAAAGTGGCAGTGTTGGTCGGAAAGTGAGCGTTACCCATGAACTGAAACAAATCATAGCCCTCTCTAAAAGTCACCTTTCCATTCTCAACTGCATTAATCTTATAGAAGGAGTATCCTGAGTACCTTCATTTTAAAGTCCCCAACCCCATGTACATCCCTCACCTCCACCCCACAGCCCATGCAAGTCATGATTTCCTTGGTCGCAGCCCAGCCCTGGCAATATAAACTCCCTTTGGTCACAAGGGAGATTTGAAGAAGACGTCTAACATTGGCTAATGCACACAAGAAGGCGGACATGGAAAACATCCGGAGTTCTTCCCAGACAAGCATGGCTCTGCAGTGCTTGTTTATGTAACATGATGCTTAAGAGTCCCAGTGTCACTCTGGAATAGGCAGGGCAAGTGTTACTATCTCCACTTTCCAGGTGGGCAATTGAGGTTCAGGGAGGTTAGGTGACTTGCCCAGTGTCACACAGCTACTCCATGGCAGAGGCAACACAAAAACTCTGATCCTTCACATGCATCCTATGATTCTATCTCATTCTCTGGGGTTCAAAAAAAAGAGACCAATTTAAAGTTTACCAACCCCGTCCTCTTTTGAACACAGAGGTGATAAATGTGACCACGGAGACTTTTGTCTGCTTGTAGTACCCTGACAGTGCCAGCCCACAAGCTGGCTTGCTATCCCCGCTTTCCAGATGGGGAAACTGAGGCCTCCAAAGATGAAGAATGGGTTGGGCCCATTCTTCAGGGAGTAATGAAGCTGAGAGGGGAACTCCGGGGCCATCCTAACGTCACTCCAGAGCCCTGACCCTCACCAGTGCAGGCAAGTTCCAGTGCCCTGCCTTGGCCTGGGAGACCCAGCTGAGGCTCAGCTTGTGTAGGCAGAGCAGACATGGGGCTGAGATCGAACAGGGCTGCCCTATCACCTGCACTTCTGTGGAAAACAAATTTGCACATACTCTGAAGAGGACGTGTGAAGTTGTAGAGCCACAGTTTGGGGTTTCGGACTTGCTTTTTAAACTTTTAAGCTATTGTGGCACTTGGGAACATTTGGGGAACTTTTTTTTCTAAATTTAAATTAAAATGACGCTCAAAACCAATTATTAGCCTTTGGAGACAGCCTGCTTTGGGTTTTGTGGGAAGAGAGAGAGCTGGAGTAGTCAGGAGAAAAAATGTGCCCCTCTGATGGAATGTCACCCTCCCTATCCCTCCCTGGGCCTTCAGGATTCAGACAAGCTCACCGACCAGCAGGCGGAAGGAAATTACTTATGAGGAAGATGAAAATTCCATCCGGTCGGGGGCCCTTTAAATGAGACCATTATGTATGTGTGTGATTCCCTCTGAGGCCACAGGCCCCTGCAGGAGAGTGACCCCCATCGCTTGCCACAGGTCACTCTGCTGAAGCGTGGGGGAGACCCACACTGCTTGGTTTCATGCCAGGCTGCCCTGGGTCCACTGGCCAAGAGCAATTAGCCTAGAGAGGAGCACTCCTGCCGAGGGACAGCACAAATACTGCGGCCGGGCAGAGGTGGCCCAACTAGCCCGAGTCTCCGGGAGCGTCCTCAGGAGCTGAAGAACTAAAAATAACCTGGGCCTTTGTTGTGAGCAGCCAGACCACAGAGATGGAGCTGATTTCAGAGAAGCCAAGCATGCGCGAGGGTTCCGCTCACCGAGACCTGCCCTTTGGGCAAATGATTTTTCCAGAAATATGTCAGTTATTGTGCTGCTGCTGCGATTCAAAGTCAGCCCAATCCGCTCCAGCCCTCGGGGCTATCTTCCAACACACAGAGTTCTCGGAAGCTCAGCCTCCCCACCTCTTTCTTCTAGACACATTTTTTTTTGAAAACAAGAGTCCTGCATGTTTGGGGAGCTTAGGAGACAAGAGCAGCCCCCGCACTGAGAGTTCTAAAATGTGGCCACCCTGGTCGTGAATAATGACCATGTCACCCTAATTATTTGTTTAGATAACAATCTTCTCTCCCCCATCCTAAAATTCCCAGTCAGGTCTCAGTAGACAATAGCGAACAAACACTACGTGGAAGGAAGAAATTACTTGGAAAAAGGAATTCAGAGCGTCGCATCAATACTGAAGGTTTCTCAAAGCTGCAGCCCCCTGTATCCAGCATTCGGACACATGATTGGGCAGCCTTCGCTCCCCTTCCTGGTTCTTCAGTCCCACCAGGAGAAGCTGAACCAGGTCTCCAGAACCAGGTGGGCTGAGAGGCAGAGGCTTGACCGTCTTCCTCTGTCCATAGGCCATGACTGGTCTCACCTAAAGGATGCCCCAGCTCTGAAGGTCAAGGAACCAGCCTGGCCTCTTGCAAAGTCTCTCCCGATGGATAACAAGTACTGACTGGCTATGGCGGGGCCTTGGCACCATTTCCACAATGTTTCCTCCCATGTCTCTGCGCGTCTCCCTCCCTCCCCGCCCCCATCTAGTAACTTTAAGCAGTGGCTCAAGACCAGGCTGGCTGTGGATGCCACTGCTGGGGTTCTAGAAGGCAACTCTTTGTCTCCACAGACACCAAGGAACAAGAAAGGGTTTCAAGACCCCAAGTCTAGAAGTTTCCAGTGAGGCTTGCCATAAACGACAACTTCTCCACAGCCCTTTGTTCCTCAGGTGAGAATTTCAGGATGCAGACCCTAAGCTGGGGGCACGGGGGCTGTGCCAAGATTTCTTGGAACACAATAGATAAAAAAACACCACACTACACACAAGTAATGGATGAGTGGTCAGGAAATGGCTTCCCTTAAAATGGGAACCAATGAGAGGGCCTCGGTGCTAGGGTAAAAGTGAGAGGGGTTCCACAGGGCTGGGGCCGGAGGTGTTCTCCCAAAGTGCAACTTCCTTCCGGTAGAGACAAGGAGGTGCTGGCTGAAGTTCCGTACATATCGGGGGAGGTCAGGAGATGCCTCACCCTCTTCGTTCCATGTGTCCCTGCCCCTCTGGGACTATTTCTTTTCCTTGCAGTTGGTCTGGCTGGATATGTGGGAGGAGGGCGCGTTCTGGTTTGAACTGGGCTCTGCTTTAGGATCTCCAGCAGCGAGTCACATTCTGTGACCTGGGGCCCTAGGCCTGGCAGCCAAAGGCTGAGGCTTTCTCTTTGAGCAGTTCCCAGCATAAGTGGCAGCTCCAGCTTCCTGCAAGAAATGAGACGGCTTTAGTAGCAGCCCCTCTGCTAACTCTGGAGCCCCACCCCACTGGCCCTAACTTCTTGTAAATCCTGTTTCCTTTGAACTTTGGCAATGCAGAAACCAAGTCCCAGGCCTGAAAACGTGCCAGAGTCTGTGGCTCAGCAGAAAGCAGGTGCTCAGAGGAGATGGGCTCAACTCTTATCAAGACCCTCACTACTAGCGTCATGCCTCCAAACTAGTGTCGCCGGGCCTGCGCCAGTTCTCCTGGAAGCTCACACCTCCCGGTCATCTCCACTGCATGTCTGGGAAAAACTTCCTTGGCCCTCAAGTTGAAATTTCAGCTGCTTGGACTGTGCCTCAGTTTCCTCATCTGTAAAATGGCAGTCGTCGTACCTACCTTGTGGGGTTGTGATGATTAAATGAGACAAGACATGAACATGTAAACCCATTAGCATAAGGCCTGTACCATAGTGAGAGCTCAGTAAGTGCTAGTAGTAGTAGTATCTGTTGCTGTTCTTATTGTTGACTTCATCATCATTACCTTCTGGGGGCTCAGCCACCGGGGGATTTAAACAGTACATGTGATAGCCTCGGTCACAGTCATCGCAGAAGAGTAGCTGGTCCTGGTGGAACACAGAGTAAGCACAGAGGAGGAGAGATTCCATTATTCGGGGCCAATGTCTGGCCCCCGCTTACCCATCAGCCTTATTTCCACGTCGGTCTCACTGGATCCCCTTTCCAGGCCCCACTTGGAGTCCTCACTGTCCCCTGAACACGCCTGTGCTTTTCCCACAACTGGAGTTTCCCCCTCTACCTCCCAGCCTATATAAATCCTACCCCCATTTTAGGGTTCTGCTCAACTCGTACCTCCTCCAAGACGCCTTCTGTGACTAACACCTCACATCCAAATTTAAAGGGATCCCTTATTCTTCTGAACTTCCAAAGCCAATAGCTCTGCTTCCAAAGGGCAGAAAATGTCTCTATTCTCCATGACTTTATATATTTGAAGATCTTAATTGAATTCTTCTGGACTCCACTCTCTCCATCTGTGAAATGGCCAACAGCTGTACTGGGATGAACCTCAGAACCTCTTCAGGGTTTCATTAGAATGTAGAAAAATGCAAGTAGCGCCATCCCTCGGCTTCCAGAAGCTTCCTCACTGTCTGGAGGCTGGAGCCCGGGTGAGAGCAGGGCACCCCAGGGTTGTGGTTAACTTCAAAGGACACAGGCCATATCTTTGCACCTATGGCTACTTCTGCCTGGAGGCTCTCCCAGGCCCTGACCCTTTCTCTGCATGTCCATTCCCTGCCTGCCCTTCAAGTACGTCTTCTTCAAGCACTTCTTTTCCACAAAGTCTTTGCTAATCTACCTCAACTGGAAGTTGTCTCTTCCCTCGTGCAGCCCTGTGGTACTTTCCCTTTCTGTGACATTTAAATGCATTTTCCTTTACGTTACATGCCTGGCATGTGGTAGACATCTAATCACGTTTGTTTTCTTGGCTGGGCGCTGTGGCGCATGCCTGTAATCCCAGCACTTAGGGAGGCCAAGGCGCGTGGTTCACTTGAGGTCTGGAGTTCGAGACCAGCTTGGCCAACATGGTGAAACCCCATCTCTACTAACAATACAAAAATTAGCCAGGCATGGTGGCGTGCACCTGTAATCCCAGCTACTCAGGAGGCTGAGGCAGGAGAATCTCTTGAACCCGGGAGGTGGAGGTTGCAGTGAGCCAAGATCGCACCACTGCACTCCAGCCTGGGCAACTGAGTGAGACTCTGTCTCAAAAAAAAAAAAAAAAAGACATCTACATGTTTGTTTTCTTGAATAGTTCATTTGGAACATGCCTCTTTTTTCCACCCTTTATCCCCTTTATGGACTATAAAGCCCTTGGGGGCAAAATCTTGTTTTCCTCATCACTGCATCCACTGTAGAGACTTCCTTGCATACAGGAGCTGCTCGGAAACTGTTTGTGATCTGGCCCCACCCCCTAGTTTCAGCTCTGTTCTATTTGGTGATTGTTGAAACTGTTTGGATGGCTTATGAGCCTTTTTCAAAATAAAGTTTTATATCAAATCTCACCTTGGCCCCCACCAGTGCAGAAATCCTGGATAAAATTAGATATAGCTGTTGGAATCCCCAGGGAGCAAGCAATGAGGGCTTTTTTTGTCATGCTAAAACCCGTCAGTGGGGCAACAGGAAAGCTTTTGAAGAGTTATCAACAGGGGAGTGATACGATCAGATTGCAGTTTAGAAAGATCTTACTAGCTGCTATGTAAGAGTAGATACCCAGTGGGGGAGAGGTTCATTCAAGAGGCCCGGGGACCAGTTAGGAAGCTGCTATAGCTATCCAGGTGCGTGATGATGGTGGCCTGAATTACAATTGCGGCATGGAGAAAGAAATGGGTCTTGCTCCCATTTAAGCATCATTGATTAGATGGGGAGAGTGATAGGGAAGAAGCCAAGGATGCCGTCTGGGTTGTGGCTTGGTCAGCAAGCCAGATGATACAGCCACCCAATGGGACATGGGAGGAAGAGCAGACTCATGGGAGGGAGAGGGCAACCTCAGCTATAGACATGTTCTACAGATAGGGATGACCTGGAGGCTGTTGAAGAGAGCAGGAGAGAAGTCTGGGCCTGAGATATGGACTTGGGATTCATTGTAATTAGATGGCAAGTGAAGGTCCTAGGAGAGGAAGCCCAGAATGTGTGAGAGCAAATGTCTTTGACCTTGTCTTCATGGAGAAGTGTCCATGAACCCCTTGAAATGATACACACAATTTTGTACATAGGTAGAAATGTACATTTTTCTATGGAAAGAGTAAGTCCGTAGCTTTCATTGAATTCTCTGAAAGATCAAGGACCCAAAAGAGTTTACTGAGAAGAAGGCCAAGAGTTTACTGAGAAGAAGTACACTTGGGGTACTCCAACTTTACAGGACAGGCAGAGAAAAAAAGACTGAAAAGGAACAGTCAGAGAGGTGGGATGAAGACGAGCACACTGTAGTTTACGCCAAAACAGTTACATCATTATTGCAGAGCCAGCATAAGCTACAGGACAATTTGATTTAGGGATAATACAAGGAGAAACAAGTTAGGATGGAGACAGAAAACAGACAGGACTTGTCAGAAACAGTGTTATTAATGCCTTAAAAACAGTAATAACCCCTACTACAGCAGTGACATGGGAAATACAAATAGGTAGAATATCCTGGATTACAATTTCCCAAAGGAAAACTAGGCATCTGAGAGTTTAAGTGCATTTTGCATGGGTTGACCACTGTCTAGCACCATATTCTCTTCTCTTCCACCACCAAGAGCCCCCAGCTTATGCTAACTCTCATGACAAACACAATTTTAGTACCTCTCACTACCAACTATCCAGGAACCAGGAATCACCTATTACTACAGTTCCAGCAGAATGGGAATCCCATTCTCGGATATCCAGGGTAAATCCCTGACCATGTGAGAGGAATCCTAGTGCCCCAACAACCTCACCCCCTGACTCCTCCTCAAAGGCTCTGCCAAGTCAACAAAAAAATCCTCTACATTTACACTATCTGTAAAGCCAAAGACCAGCGTCAACCTAAATGTCCATCAATAAGGGAATGGTTGGATAAGTAAAAATTATGCAGCTGTAGGAAGGAATGAAGAATGTCTATATATTCCTCCAGATTAATCTCTAAGATATTCAGAGAAAACAAGCAAGATGGAGAAAACATATATACTTGTTACCATTTTTCATGGATTCATATATACACACACATGTTTACATTTAAACAAAATGGAAAGACAAATCATATTTTTTAGTGGTTGCCTATATGCAGAGTGAAGGAATAGTGTGGAAGAGGTAAGTAGAGAGCTACATTTCTTTGAATATAATGTTTCTTTATAAATTTGATTTTAGAACCAATAAATATTTTACACAGTCATAAAACAAAATTTAAATAGCAATATGTCCCTAAAAAAAACAAAAGAAAAATGAGGCAAATGAATTTGGTTATGTATCCAATTGGTAGCATAACCACACAGAGAGAAACTATTCCATCTGACTATAAAACAATTAATTTGACAATACATCCTTAGTAGGACATACCTTAAGGTCATACATAAATGCAGATCTGCATATATATGTGTGTGTGTGTGTAATGTTCAGCAATTATATTATTGGTTTAAATATTGGAATCAATATTCTGAGACTGCTTTATGTGCATCAAATGAGTAATTATGTTGGTATTATTGAAGAGCAAGATTTTGTAACATGGTTGAAAGAAAATAGAAATGTAGGCCAATGAAGTTAAGTCAAAAGTCAGTAGTTGGTTCTAAGTATGAACTGGATGCATCAGTATAAATTCATGGTGTAGTGTATCTTTAAAACAAGCAAAAAATATTTTCTACCTCTGTCCACAGAAAGTGCTCCAAAACAATGACTAACAGCAAAATTAGCACCTCTAGCACCCATATTATGTTCTCTAAAGACCATTGCCCACTAAAAGGAATTAGGAGTCCTGGGAGAAATAAGTGATTCCAGGTCTGGAGCATAAAATGTATAAATATATTTACATATTACAAAGTAAGGAAGCTATCAAATACTATTAGGATTATGTCAAAAGGACTCAGGATCCAACCTGAATATGTTACCACTGGTCAAAGATGGGACAATTTTACCTATAATGGATTATAACAAATAAAATATGTTTAAAATCTTAAGTTCATAAACATATTTTTTAAAACCTTAGTCACCTTCAGAAGATGCTAGAGAAACATCACACTATATTTTTATTTATTTATTTGAAATAATTTTAAACTTAGAGAAAAGTGCAGAAATTATGCAGAGAATTGTACTCACTGTGCCCTAATATTAACATATTATATTACTATAGCAGAATTACGAAAATCAGAAAATTACCATTGGTGTAATACTGTTAACTAATCTACAGACTTTATTTTAATTTCTCCAGTTTTCCCACCTATGTCTCTTTTTTTTTTTTTTTTTTTTTCTGAGACAGAGTCTCACTCTGTTGCCCAAACTGGAGTGCAGTGGTGCCATCTCGGCTCACTGCAGCCTCCTTCTCCCGGGCTCAAGCAATTCTCCTGCCTCAGCGTCCTGAGTAACTGGGATTACAGGCATGTGCCACCATGCCTGGCTAATTTTTGTATTTTTAGTAGAGACAGGGCTTCACCAAGTTGGCCAGGCTGTTCTCCAGCGCCTGACCTCAGGTAATCCGCCCGCCTCAGCCTCCCAAAGTGCTGGGATTACAGGCGTGAGCCACCACGCCCGGCCCCCAACCTATGTCTCTTTACCAGGGATCCAATCCAAGATCCCTCATTGCATTTAATTGTTGTGTTTTCTCAGTATCCTTCAATCTGTGACAGTTCCTCAGTTTCTTTGTCTTTCATGAGCTTGACACTTTCAAAAAATCCAAGCCAGTGATTTTGTAAATGTCACTCAATTTCAGTTGGATCTTTTCTCATGATAAGATCCACATATGCATACATTTTTTAGCAAGAATACCACTAAAGTAATGTTGTGCCCTTCTTGGCGCATCATATCGGGGGAAATTGAGGCCAGTACGTCTTATTACTTGTAATGTTATCTGTGATTATATAGTTAAGGTAGTGTCTGCCATTTTTTTCACTGTAAAGTTACTGTTTTTCCCTTTGTAATATACTAATAAGTAATATTGTTGGGGAGATACTTGGAGATTATCTCCTCAACAAGAGAAATAGGATATTTGAGATTATGTAAATATCCTACTTCTCATCATACTTTTGCCCACTAATTTTAGCATCAATTGACAGTTCGTCCTTATAACCATAACTGTGAAGTGTGCCCAATGATTATTTCCCCTTTCCCTCTACATTTACTCATTGGAATTCTGCTCTAAGGAAGAGCTTACCTTCTCCTCTGTTTACTTATTTATTCAATTTTTATATTAGTATAGATATTTATTTTTTCTTTAGGTTATAACCTAATAATGTCATTATTTTTTTGCTCAAGTTTTCCTAGATTTGGTCATTACGGGTTCCTTCAAGTTGCTTCCTGTGTCCTCTAGACGCATGAAAATATCCTTTCATTTTTTGAACACTTCCTTACTTTCTGACACCACATAATCCTCCAGGCTTATCTGGCATATTTTGCATCCCAGCCCTGGAATCAGCCATTTCTCTAAGGATCCATGGTTCTTTTTATGAGAGAATGGTGTTTAGAAACCAATTCCTTGATGCCATGTGTCTTCATTGCTTCTGTGTTGTCATTGCTTCTAGGCCCTCCCAGCCAACACAGCTAGGAAATAAATGTATGTGTAGGTACACATGCATACATCTCTACTTATTTCTGTCTATTAATATATGTGTACACATATGGCTAGATATAATATGTATAAACTATATATAACACATTGTATGTAAAATCATGAATTCATAGTGATACCCACTATTCCAAACCAATGCCTTCAATCTAGCCTTCCCCCCTTTATTTGGTTATTCTTTTTCTGACTTTGAGAAACTAGACTCTCATTAGTCACAATACACAGTCATTAGTTCAAATCTAGCATACGTAGTTTCAGAATTACTAATTCATATACCTATGAAAATAAATTAACTAGAGTACAGTATTTGTGGTGCAGTTATTTCTGTCCTTAGCTTTACAACACACAGTCAAAATACTGTTTTCCAAAGTTACTTAGGTTATTCTTTTCTTCCTCACTCTTCGGTATAGTTACATTATCTATTTACGTTATACTGTTTATTTGTTACTGTTTTTATTTCATTTTAGTTTTTCCCTACATCTTGGTTGATTTTAAGTATTTATCTATTTGGGAGGTATGTAAAACCTTATGATGGTTGTAAGAGTCAAAGCTATACAAGAAAGTATTCTCAAAGAAGTGTTGTTTCTCCCTTATCCCTACTATCCCATTTTCATTTTCCCATTTTTCTCTACCCCATTCTCCCAGACCCGTGTAGGTAACCAGTCTCATTAGCATCCTGTTTATTCTTCTTATATTTCTTTTACACAAGTGAGCAAATGCATGTAGGTTTTCTTATGTCTCTTTTTTCTTACAATAAGGTCAGCATACTATAGATATTCTATTTTACTTTGCTTTTTTACTTAATATATTCTGGAAATCACTCCAAATCAATTCATAGACATCTGCCTTATTCTTTTTTACAGCTGTATAGTACTCCACTGTATGGCTGTGCCATTGTTTATTCAACAACTACTCTTCCATATATGGATATTTAGGTTGTTTCCAATATTCTGTAGTAATGAACAATGCTACCACAAATAACCTTATGCATTCCATCATGTTGCAGGTATATCTTCAAGGTAGATTCCTGTAGGTGAGAATGCTTAGTCAAAAGTTAAGTGCATATTAGCTCTGTTAGGTATTGTCAAATTTCCCTCCCCAGGGTTGTACTAATTTGTATTCCCACCAACAATGTATGAAGGCACCATTTTTCCCATAGCTTCATCAACAGGATATATTGTCATACTTTTCAACTTTTGCCCATCTGATAAGTAAGAAATGATATCTCAGCTTTGAGTTTCTTTGTGAGTGCATTTGAACTTTTTTTTTTTTTTGCATCTTTAAGGGTCATTTTTATATCTTTTGTGGGTTGTCTTTCATGTATTTTTCTCATTTCCTATCAGGTTTCTGGTCCTTTGTCCTCAATTTTTAACACTTCTTTTTATATAGGGAATTAGCCCTTAAACTGTGGTACATGCTGCCAAAATTTCCTCCCAGTTTGTCAGTTGTCTTTTGACTTTATCATGTTTTTGACTATGCAAAATGTTTATGTAGTCAGATATACCAACATTTTATTTAATTGCTTCTGGATTTTGAGTCACAGTTTGAAAACCTTTTCCTGTATTTAGATTAAAGAGGAATTTACTTGTGCTTTCTTCTAGTACTAGCGTGGTTTTACTTTGTACATTTAGATCCCCAATGTATTTGGTGATTATTTTTATGTATGGTGTAAGATATAAATCTAATTTTGTCTTTTCTCAAATGGCTACCCCATTGTCCCAGCACCATTCATTTAAAAGTCTGTCTCTGACCCAGTAATTTTAGATGTGACCCTTACCCTATACTGTATTTCCATATGTAGTTGGATCTATTTATGGGCTTTCTATTCTATCTCAGCTGGTCTATTTCTCTCCTCATGCATCAGTGCCACACTGTTTTATCTATAGAGGCTTTACAGTATGTTTTAATATCTGGTAGGGCTAGTTTCCATCACAGTTTGTTTATCAGTATTTTCTTGCCTATTTTTGCATGTTTGTTTCTTCATATGAACTTAAGTATCGATTTGTCTAACTCCATAAAAAAAGTTTGTTGATATTTTTATTGGACCTGAGATAAATTTATAAATTAACTCAGGAAGAACTGACATCTTTATAATGTCAAGTCATTCTATCCAAGATCATAGGATGCCTTTCAATTTGTTCTTTGTGTTTTTGAAAAGTGTTTAAAAGTTTTGTTTATATAGGTTTTGCACATTTGTTGTTAAATATATCCCTAAGTATTTCTTCTTTGTTGCTATTATAAATGGAATTATGTTCTCTAACTGGTTATTGTTTGTATATGAGAAGGCTGTTAATTATGTGTGTTAGTTTTATAATCTGTTACCTTTTATGTTTGAGTTAGCTTATCATTGATTCTCTAAGGTTTTCCAGATATACTATCATATAATACAAAAATAGAGTTTTATTACTTTGTTATCCATTCTTACATCTCTAATTAAATTCTCCTGTCTAATTGCATTAGGTAATGTCTCTAGAATAGTGTCGAATCATAGTTATAGAGATAGTGAGCATCCTCCCCTGGTTCCTAATCTTAGTGGAATTGTGCCTAGTGTTTTCCTCATTAAATAAGATACTGGCTTTAGTTCTAAGGTACAAATACTTTATCATGTTAAGAAGATATCCCACAATCACTATTTTTAATGTTTTTATCATAAATAGATATTTTAACCACACTGTTTTTTTAAAACTGACAAAGGGAAAGAATCAAGCATTTTTTTCCTGCCATTTCTATATGATCTACACCTGAAGGTAACCAAATGAAAGATTGGGCAAGTTTATCTTCCTGGAATTACTCCAGCAATAAACAAAAAAGAAATTATCCAATAAGAATATCACTATTTTGCAACCCCTAACAAAATAGTCAATCCAGTCAAAGGTCATCAATAGATGCTACCTTTACAAAAAGAGAAACATCAGGCATTATACATCCTGATGAAAGTGTACACCACCATCTATGAAGTAGTCTTGCCAAAAGAGAGAGAGAGAGAGAGAGATGGAGACAGAGTTGGTGAGAGGAGAGAGAGAGATAAAGACAGACACAGAAAAAGAGACAGACAATCTGAATCAAGCCTCTAGCCCTAACAATTGACAAGAAATTCAAGAGACAGAGGAAAATGTCAGACAGCACAGAGATATACTCAGTCAAATACAGTCATGAGAACTTGAACAAATGATCTGATTTCTTCAACAAAGAATTTAAGGGAGGAAGAAAGAGAATAAGATGGAGGGAAAAGTCTATGTGTTATTTAAAGAAGCTATATGTAAGTTTATATGCACCTACAGATATTTAAATAAACTTCAAAGACATATCAACTAATTGCAATGTATGGGCCTTATTTGAATCCCAATTCAAATAAACAGGCTGTAATAGAAACATTTATGAGACAACTGAGGAAATATGAGACGACTGGATGTTTGATTGTACTAAGGAATTATTGATTTTTTAGCTATGTAATATTTTGGTTATTTAGGTATAAAAGTAAGTCCTTATCCTTTTGAGATACATATGAAGTAGTTACAGGTAAAAATGATATTATGACGGAGACTATGGAGAGGGAGGTCATGGTATTTATGAAATAAGATTGGACGTGTACTGATCTTTGTCGAAGCTGGTGATGGTTTACATCAATTCTATTATTCTCTCTGCCTTTGTATATGTTTGAAATTGCCCATAATAAAAAATGTTCTTGAAAATTTTGCACTTATTATATTTAACATTTAGACCAAATGAGATCATATACTGTGGAATGTGGTGGAAACAATCAAATACATCCCTGCCATAAGCAGTGTTGACCACTGTCAGTCTCTGAGCCCTCAAGGGCTAATGGCCAGGTTGCTCCCAAGTGCCAGGGTAACAGGCCCCAGGGGCCTAGTGACAAGAGTCCTTCCTTCCTCTTCACCCCTCAAAGGACCCCAGCTCTGTGGATTTCTCCCTCCCACAGGGAAAGCCCCAAACTCACATCATTCTCTGAGGTCCCACAGAGGATACAGGATTTGCACTCTATGCACTGCCACTTGTAGGTCTTGACAGCCTCGGTCATGTTCAGGGTAAACTGCAGGCAGGTTGGGTGACCTGGAGGAAGCCAGAAACAACAGCATTAGGGCCAAAGTATGAACTGCCACCCCTCAACACCACTCACTGGAAACACATTGATGCCCAGTGTGCAGGCAGGGCAGGGTAGCATGACGTAGGGAAAAAAATGGGGACCCAAACAGGGCCCTACCCACATTCTTCACCACCCAGTTATTCAGATCAAGGGCAAAACAGAGATATAAGCACATCCAATTCTGCTTGCACTGAGACCATATTCCCCAGCAGGTGTAACCAGTTGATGAAGATGGAAAACAATGATCAGAGAGAACGAGAGAGGAAACTGCAGAGTACACAGCCTGGGGCAGCACTATGAGAGACACCAGTGGGACCCTCCAAGCCCCAGCATCAGCTATGGCAGCACAACAGGTAAGAACTATTTGGAGCTGGGCCTTCTGATCCAACCAGTTATTCACACTGCCTTAGGGTGCAAGGGAGGCTATCAGAAGGATTGTATGAGGTTTCCAGGGTCAGTGCTCAGGGATAGGATGAGGCATTGCACTGTTACCTAAAGTATCCATGCCCACACTCATGAGACTAGCAAAAGTTCATATCCTGAACAGTACCACGGACTACAGAAGGAAGTGGCCTGGCAGGGATGGCAAAGAAATGGAGCATCAGAGCAAATGGCCAGGTCTATCCTAAAAGGACTGGTTCCCGGTTCTAACTCTTTTCTCCATCCCAAGTTTCATGGGAGCCAACCCAATCACAAGATGAGAGAAGGGACATTAAGCTGTGACCTTCAAGCACAGCCCCCGTGAGCCATGCCCAAGACTTGGCCTGTGGAACTGGACTCTGTCCTCAGACCTAGGTCACCTAAAAGAGAGATGCTTGCAGGGAGAGGACGGCCATGAACTGTAGAATGCAAAGACCCTTGGCCTTCTATGTGGCATGGAAGGATAACTTGGATGACATTCCCAAGTCGCCCAGTACTGTGAAACAGATCAGAATCTGCCCAGAACACCCAGGGCAAAGCCAATTACTGACTCTGTCACAAAAAACATTGACAGCTTTGCCCAGTGCCGAGCACTCACCGTTCTCCAGAGCTTCCAGTTCTGCCAAACCCATTATATGGTGCCTTGTGTTGCCTCTTTCATTTGAAGGATTATATGCTTTAAAGAAGGATGCTAGAGACAGGGGACACCAATCATGGTTAGCACCGCCAACCTAGTATCCTCCACAGACAGGATCCCCCATGGCGCCACCACCCCTTGGCAAAGCCACATCTTAACAGGAGCCCCCATTTCCTCCCTTTCAAATCTTCAGAGAGCTGTTCACATCATGACCATTTGGATGAAATACTGTCTATTCAGCCAACATAAGGATCCTTCACATTTTGAGCTCCACAAATAGAAACCATGCTGAGTTATCTTGGAGAGGGCGAGGGGTGTAGAAATGACTTGTTGGTGGTGGGGAGGGGACACTCAGTGAATACAGGCAGAAGCAGCAAGGAGAGGCCTGATCTAAAAGCTTTTCAAGGACTTCTCAGGTACCATCCAACTTAGAGACTTCCGCAGCTCTGAACTAATAACCCTCTCAAGGTGATACCATCACAGTGGCCCCAAAGAAAAAGAAGCCTTACATTAAAAGCCTGTGTGAACAGCCAGCTGATATTCTTGAAAGCATCTCAAAGATTGGTCTAAGAAGAACATTAGCCAGGGTTACTCCCTATTCCAGTCTCTCAGAGAGAACACTGGGATGGGTACAGGGTAGGAAATATCTGTTTGGGACTCCATGTGGTATGACCACAGATGCCCAGTTTCTCTGACCAGGCACCACTGAGAGCATGAACATGAGGTCATGGAGCTGATGCTCATATAGGCAAGTTGACTTTGGCCAGTTCTGTGCCACACCCCAGCCACACCCAGCCAGCTTAGGATAACTATTCATTAACTTACGAAGTACTTATTGAGCACCTACAAGGCAGGCCATTGTGCTAGACAGAAAAGACACAGTGGGGATGAGCAAGATACCTTGAGCCCTTCCAGCCTAGCCAAAGAGGCCTCAGATTAATCAGCTACACATGTATCTATCAACTACAATTGTATAATTAGTGCCATGAAGGAAAAGCATAATTGGCCGTAAAAACACATAGAAGAACCTAACCTAGACTGAGATGACAAGGAAACCTTCCCTGAGAAAGATCTTTAAGCTGATATGTGTCAGATGAGACGTTAGCTAGGTGGGAAGAGGAGGATTCCAAGTAAGGGGAACAGCATGGGTGGAGGCTTTGAGCAGTGAAGCAGCTTAGCAAATTACAAGGAAGAGAAAGGCCAGTGAGCAGAGGCTTGATGAGCAAAAGGAAAGGGGTAAGAGGTAGCTGCAGAGGTAGCTGGAGAAGGATTACAGGCATTTGCAGCCCTTATTTAAGAATCTGTTTTTTAAGTCATTAAAGGCTATTAAGCAAGGCAGTAAGTGGGTCACATTTTGTTTTTAAAGGAGCACTCTTTAGCATGAGTGCTATTGGGATGAAGTGGTTCTGTATCTTGATTGTGGTGGTTACATATGTGATAAGATTGCATAGAACTGTACATACACATACACATATGTATTTGTACATGTAAAACTAGTCACATCTGAATAAAGTCTATGATTGCATTAATATCAATTGCCTGGTTTTGATATTGTGCTATAATTACATAAGATGTTGCCCTTGGAGAAAACTGAGTGACGAGCTCAAGGACTTTTTGTAATATATTTTGTAACTTCCTATGAAGCTATAATTATGTCAAAATAAATAGTTGAAAATATATTTTTAAATAAGGAAAACAAATAAAAAATTAAATCATCAAAAAGAAAGGAAGGTGGAAGGCAGATAAGAAAAAGGAGAGAGAGAGGAAGGAGGGAAGGAAGAAAGGAAGGAAGGAAGGAAAGAAGCAGGAGGAAGGGAGGGAAGGAGGGAGGGAAGGAAAGAAGGAAGGAAGGAGAAGGGAAGAGATGAAAGGGACAGAAGGGAAGGAAGGGAAGGAAGGGAAAGAAGGGAAGGAGGGAAGGATGGAGGGAGGGGAAGGGGAGAGAAGAGGGGAAGGGGATGGGAAGGAGAGAGGAAGAGGAGGGGAAGGGAGGGGAAGGGGAGGGGAAAGGGAGAGGGGAGGGGGAAGGACAAGAGAAGGGGAGGGGAAGGGAGGAAGGAAGGATGAAGGGGCTGTACGCTAAGGAAAGAATTGTTGAGGGGTGGGAGGGTACAGGAATGTAAGAATTGTTGCCAGGAAGCTAGTTAGGAGGCTAATGCAGCTACCAGGAGAGATACAAGAATGATTCAACTAAGGTGGAAATTTGAGAAATGTTAAAGAAATACTTGACAGGACTTGACTATTGTTTGAATGTTGGGAATATGGGAAAATGATGAGAAATAATCCCAAGTTCTGACCCATGAAACTAGGTAGATTGTAGATTACAGTGAAACTTAGATGAGAAAGACTGTAGAAGGATTGCAGGGACCACATAGAGGAAGAGGATTCCTTCTGTGTTGAGCATGCTGAAACTGAGAATTCTGGTGGAAATGTTGAGTGGATAGTTGAATGTATGGGTCGAAATTCAGAAGTTTTTGCTAAATAGGTGATAAGTGAAACCATGAGAATTAATGAAATTATCTAGGGAAAAGGGAATGAGGAAGTATCTAGGGAAAGAAAGGAAGAGGAGAGAAGAAAGGAGAATAGAGAAAAGGGTCTAGGACTGAGCTTGGAGGAGCTCAAGTCCTCCAAGATCAAAAGAAAGAACCAGCAAAGGAAAGAGAGAAACATGGCAAGAGGTAAGAAGCAAATCGGGTGAGTATGGGGTCACAGTAACCAAAAGAAGAGGTTTCAAGAAGGAGAAGGTGGTCAACTGTGTTTACTGCCACAGGTTCTCTAGTTTGTCCTTGCTCAATAAAGACCCCGAGTGAGGGAATGTTGACAGATCAGGGCAAAAGCTACCCTACTAATAATAACACGCTTCAGTCATGCCATCTTCCCAAGGAAGGAAAGTCAGCACATTCCAGAGCATGACAGAACTCAGCAGCCAAATGTGCATCTGAGCTGTCTCTGTGAGGAGGGGCCGGGGGTGGCGTGTGCTGCATGCATGTAGCAACACTCCACCAATATTTATCGAGAGCCAGCTCTGTGTCTTAGTTCTCTAAGACTCCTGTGCTGAGCTATGAAGACATTTTCTGGGATAGCTTTGGACAATGGATGGTAGCAAGTGGGTTTTGGAAATGCCTGTTGGAAGTTTCTGAAACAATCTCATGGCTTTCTCTGTGTTCCCATCTTGAGAAAGTCATCAGCCTCCTGAAGATCTTCAAACCCGAAGCAAGGGAGCTAAGTTCACACAGCCTCAAGCCCCCGACAAAATGCAGGACTAAGATGGGCCTTAGCAGTGGCTGCAGGAACTCCTTCTCCTCCACACTCAGGACATCACTCAAGCGCAAGAAGAAAGTAGGGGAGGGAAATACTATTGTAACTTCTCAGCCAGGGAGGGTGAGACACAAAAAGTTTAAGTCATCAGCAGGTGCAAAAACTGTGCCCAGAACTAAATCCTCCTGTCTGGACCACCATAACAGATTTGCTCCTGCGCCTTTCTCCAAAAACTGCAGAAATCATTTGCCAGACAAAACTGCAAGAATGAGACTTCTTACCTGCCACAAAAATTACTTCAATAATACACACTGTTAGACAAAAAGAAGTGTCTAAGGAAAGTAATAGCAGCTTGTTTCTAAGGTTCACTGGTCTTACTTTTGCCCAGAACTAATTCCTAAATGCTTTGAAAGTAAGAGAATAACAAATACGGTCTTTCCAATTCAAAGGTGAAAGAAAAAAAGAGGCACATGGCTATAAGGTAATTTGTAATACTTATGGTCACTTGATATTTGAGGATCCCTATCTTAATCTCTTTTGTAAAGTTAACCCTCATTCTCTAGGGTATTAGGCTGGTGCAAAAGTAATTGCAGTTGTTGCCATTAATGGCAAGTACTGCAATTACTTTTGCACCAACCTAATACTTGCTTGGAAATCTAGATTTTTTCATAGCCCCAGTTTTCTTTAGAGCAAGAAATACCCATATTGCTATTTAAATAGCCTACTATAGTGGAGGGAAGACAACCCTTCCCAGGCCCCCCTGGGTGCCATGATTCAACAGAGCATTTATAAGATTCCAATTACCAAAATGAATTTAGAAAATGGTGCACTGTGCATGATTCAGCCCAGCCGGATCATTAAAAACCTAGTCCTTCCCGGATGTTCCTCTAAATGTATTCTATCAGGAGCATTCAGTAAATCTCCTGCTAGCTTATTGAGCTGGGTCAGTGGTGAACTTGGTGTGAAGAGCCATTCCTGATTCAGCCCTAACCCTTCCAGAACTGACCTCAATCCTCCCTAGAGGTTGACACTGGGTATGTCACCCATGGCCACTATGTATGGGAGATCTAACTGCTGGAGTGGGCTTTTGGGAGATCAGCATTTGGCTTCAGGGTGCTATTTCAGCAGATGGAGGGAAAGGGAAACCAATGGGTTATGGGAAACTTCTCAGACAGATGATAATCCATGAGGCTGGGAGTACCCGGTGTTTCTGACACTACAGCCTACTGAGCTCAGTAAAAAAGGAAAGGCAGGCATCTGAGAGCAGTGACAGCAGCCTTGGCACTGGAAGGACACATCTCATGTCTTTACAGAAACATGTGCACAGATGCTGAAAATGTTCAAGGGACAGCAAATGGGATTTGTGGTATTTGAGTGAGAAGGCACACAGATAAATATCCAGGCAAAACTAGTGTTAGTTTCATATTCACAGCTGCCAATTTCTATGCACGCTAATACACAACTGCCCCAACACAAGGGTATTTCCAGCCTTTTAGGGGAGAAAATATCTAAATATACCTTGTGGATTAAGCTGACATTATGATTGCAACTTAAAAGCTAACCTAAGTCACTTACTAGTCAACCTCCTCTATAGATATTCAGTACATTGAGAGAAACACAGTTCATTTTCAACAAACCCTGGGCAAAAGAAATACACAAACTGCTATGACATGTGTCTCTTACATTATGATCCTTATTAAAAGAGTTTTTATTTTATTATCACCGGTATTTAATTTGGACTAGGCTAAGCCACATCACTGATTGAATTAGGGCTCCAGGAAAAAAAATTATCTTCCTAGGTATGCATTGAAAACATAAATAAAACAAATATAAATAACTTTGGAATCAGCATGGTCTATTATTTATTCATTGTGAAATTATAAACATCTAATTATACTTTATTACCTTATTTATCAATGTTGATCTCTTAAAAGCTAATTTCTCAGGCAAAGAGAACTTAAATATCCATGGTTCTCAGGCAAGTAAATGCAAAACTCAAATTGTGCTCCTTATTCTGATGCTTGGTTTACAGAAATTGTATTACATAAAATACATAGAATCAATTCCAACCCAAAATAGCGCCAAAAACAAGTCTCCATGGGCATTCATTAGAAAATAATTTGGCTCAAATTTCAAATAGTTCTCTATATTCTCATACACATATAAAATTCCTGGTATTTACAAATTGCAAATGTATATATGAAGTTTTAGCTAAAGCATTTATGCAAAGTATAGTCATATCTGAATCATCATGCTACAGGGTAATTTGAGAAGAAAAATTATTACTAGTTCTCTTTGGGAAGCCATCTCATTCAATCAGATCCATTCATTTTCATTCTCTCACTCCTCTCTTCTCTCTTTCTCTTCTCTCCCTCTTCTGTCTCTCTCTCTGCCCCATTCCCTCCCCCTCTCTTCATGCTCCTCCACTTTGAGACCCAGCTTGGCAGGTGGAGAGAAGGAGGCTCAGTCATTATATTGAATCTGTAAAGGGGAAAGGGATGGACCAATTCTGAGCAATCAAAAGTTCAACTCCTTTATGTATATACTATGGCAAGTATGATAACTGGGCACTGCTGCTTCACATAATTATTTCTCAAGCCCTGCTTTGTAAACCTTCTGCAAAGGTCTGCAGGTTCACCTCTATCTGCCCCCAGATGTTACTTCTAATGCTGAAGACACCTGCAAATCGATGATCACAATGGCACTCCAGAGGCATCTGAATGGCTCCCTTTTTCTCTCACCATTTTTATTGCACTTCAAAGAGGACAAAGAAGAGAAAGAGAATGGAAAGGACAAATACCAAACAAACAAAAATGCATTAAAAATAAATGATAGCGTGAGCTGTGTGGCTGCCCTTTCTTGGGCAAAACACCTTCCTGTGCATCCAGCTCCACTCCTCTTAGAGGTTTGTTTATCCTCTCCTCCAGTTGTCAAGGTCTGTGGCACCCAGGAAACACATGGGATGCAAGCCCCAGGGGCTATTGCACCAGTCATTCTTATAAATAACCATACAAAGCACATTCATGCAAGAGTATTACGGGCACTTTTAATAGGCTAAACAGCCAAGGGCTCATGGCGCCATTCTCAAATGGTCCTAGAAATTCCCCAAGTTTTCGTGGTCAGGTGTGGTCCAAGGTGGAGTCTCTAGGAAGTGGATCTACACCTGTCTATAAGCCTGAGGGCATACATCATGGTTGGTCTTCTTAAAGTGAAATAATGGGATAGGGAAGCCTTGACCTGGATTTATACAATTTACTCGACTCAACTTGGGGCCAATGCACAGCACTAGGAATACGTTGAGAGTCATAGTAATGACCCCAAAGCCCCTAATTAGTCACTGCAGCTGAGGATCAAAAATAATTTATTCATTTATTCATTCCTTTGACAGTATTTGTTGAATATATAAATATGGCAGGCACTCTTCCAGGTACTGGGGATATAGCAGTGAGAAAATCCAAACCCCTGCCCTCAATTTACAACTGCCACACTTTGAGATATATTACAGCACCTGAGTCCTTTGGACAAGTCAATTGACTTCTCTAGCATTAGTTTTTCAATATATTAAGTTAAAGCATTGGAATCTGCTATCCATGAAGCTGTAGCTTTGTCTATGCCACCCAAAAATGGTATTTTTAAAGATACTACTGATCCCCAATTGCCCATCTGCTTGGTGGGATAAACAAGCCTTCTAAAGTTTGCCAGCTAAAACTGAAAGTTAAAAAAGAAAAAAACTAAGAAAGAAATTAAAATAGCCAGTAAGTCCTTCTAGAATTCATGTCAACTTTCCCATATTGACCAGCCCAGTCCGATCCAATGTCGACACAACAAAAGATGGCCAAGACAGAAAGCAAAAGAAATCTAGAAATCTAAAGGACTTTTCATCAACCATACCACCCACCGCCATGCAATAAGTTAGGCCTATACAGATGAGCTGTCATAAACTGAAGGTAGACAGAGGCCTTGGGTAAGGTTCCATCGATGAGGAATATTAGATCTGGGATGAGCTAGGTTGAGCTGCTGTGTGACAGCTGCAGATATTGCCAGGCAGGAAGTGACTAAGAGAAGAGGGTCATCGGTATGAGCAACTCTGGATGACTTTCCTTTTAAATGCTTCTCTGGATTTGTAGATTGCAGGCAACCAGCTGCCCAAAGTGATTCTTGCCCCACAACAGTGTGTGAAGGTCAGGCGGCTGAATCATTGCCCAGAGCCCAACATCAATTTTAGATGCCAAGCCTTGACATTTGCTGTGCATTCCAGGCCTCTCTGGACCTCAGGAGCATCCAACCATGGGACCTGGCTAAAGGCTCTGTGTTTTCTTTAGGAAAATGAGCCTGAAAAAGAAACCATTGCTTAGATTGGAAACCCTGTAATCCCTGTACTTCCTACTGTCCTGAGTACATCCAGGAGAATTTCAAAATGTCTGTAATTGATGTATAGCTGGTGGAAAACAGCAGTGATTGGTCAACACTTGATTGCCCATGATCCTCCAACTGCTGATCATCCATGAATTAGAAGATGAATTCATGAGTGGTCTAAGTTCTTGAGTTGCCTGAGGACCTTTGAAGTAGCATTCTAATTTTTTCTTCCAAAAAATATTCCACAGAGTTGTGCTAAGTCAAAAGGAAAAAATGCTTTCCTATCCTTTTCTACGTGAGCCTGGGAAGCAATCATAGAAGTACCTAGAAGTAGAGGACTGACAGTGTACTCATGACACTTAGACACTTTGTTTTACATTTTTTTTTTTTTTTGAGACGGAGTCTTGATCTGTCGTCCATGCTGGAGTGCAGTGGCGTGATCTTGGCTCACTGCGAGCTCTGCCTCCTGGATTGACGCCATTCTCCTGCCTCAGCCTCCTGAGTAGCTGGGACTACAGGCGCCCGCCACCATGCCTGGCTAATTTTTTGTATTTTTTAGTAGAGACGGGGTTTCACCGTGTTAGCCAGGATGGTCTCGATCTCCTAACCTTGCGATCTGCCTGCCTTGGCCTCCCAAAGTGCTGGGATTACAGGCATGAGCCAGTGCGCCATTTTTAAATCATTTTAGTCTAATTTTGAGTGTTCTTGTGGACTTTGCAATCTACCCAATTGTGATCAGATTCTCATAGAAAAATAATTCCACTTAATTTGGCAAAATTCACTGAGCACCTGTTCATTGCCAGGAACTGTACAAGGTGCTGAAGTTTCAAAGAGGAATGAGGCATGACTCCTGCCTTGAGGAGCTCAGTTTGGTAGGTGTGCTAGGCAGTCTCTGGCGTGGCTATCAATGAAGGACACCATACTCTTTTGTCATTCTCCCCCCTTGAGTGTGGGCTGCACTAAATGACTCACCTCAAACTAGTAGAATATGGCAGAAGTGATGAGATGTCACTTATAATATTAGGTTATAAAAAGACTGCAACTTTCATCTTCCGAATCCTCTCTTATGCTTTCTCACTTACTTGCTCTAAGGGAAGCCAGCTGCTATATTGTGAGATGCCCTACAGACAGGTCCATGTGGCAACATATGAAGGAAGGCCTCAGTGCAGCAGCCCAAGGGGAACTGAATCCTGCCAGAACCCACACGTGTGGGCTTGGAATTGAATTATCTCCCAAGTGAGCCTTCAGATGAGACCACAGCCCCAGCTGACAACTTGACTGCAACCCAAGGGAGGCCTTGGGCCAGAGGCACCCAGATAAAACACACATAGATTCCTGACCCACAGAAACTATGAGATAATAAGTGTTTGTTGTTTTAAGCTGTTGAGTTTTGGAGTAATTTCTTACACAGATAACTATTATATATAGAGAGAGAGACTCTTTTAAATGACTATAATACAATGTGATAAGTGCCATAATAGGAGAATGAATGAAGTTCCTACAGATAAGGAAGCAATAAATAATGCTGGAGAGGCTCAGGGAAAGCCACTGAGAGGAGGTAGCTTTCAAGCTGGGCCTTAAAGGATAAATAGGAGTTTTCTAAGTAAAAAAAAAAAAAAAAAAAAAAAAAAAAAAAAAATGGAAACAGCATTACAGGGAAAGGCAACAGCAGGAAATATAAGGTGCATGGTCCACTCAGGCAAAGCAGAGTAGCTCAAGGAGAGCAGGGAAAAGAGGAATTGCAGGAGATGATGCTAGAAAGGTATGAGGAAAGATTATGAAGAGCCTCTTATGTAGGCATGAGGATCTGAATTTAATTCTGTAAACAGTGGGGACTCCTCGGAGGTTTTTAAGCAAGAAACTGATGTGCTTGTACCCATGCTTTAGAGAGATGAGTCTGGTGATAGGTCAGAAGGCAGATGTGTTGGAGATGGCTGGGGAAGGGGGACCAGTCACTAAATCCATCTATTCAATGAGTTTGTATTGAGCACTTGCAATGTGCCAGGTGCTGTGATAGATGCTGAGCAATGGAAAACAGACAAAATCCTACCCTTCTGGAGCTTACACTGTAATGAGGGGCATTAGTCCAGGGCAGATCTAATAATTGTGGGGATGAAAGGAGGAAACATTTGAGAGGTAGAATTGGTCAATAGGACGTGATACCTGCTTGAATATGTGTGTGAGGAAGAGGCAGAAGTAAAAAATGGCATCAAGATTCCTAGGTTGGGCCACAGAGTAGATGATAAAACTGTTAGCAGAGATGCGACTTGCAGAGTATAACAATGGATTCAAACTGGGCACATTCCATTAATTGTGCAGATGAAGATGCCCAGGAATTGGTGTGAAAATGTGGGTCTACATTCAGGAGACAAGACCAGGCTAGAGATATAAATTTAGAAATCATCAGGTTTGGGTGGTAGATGAAGCCTTGGAAGTTGGTGAGACATTCAGGAAGAGACCACAGAGCACAAAATAAAAAGGACCTAGTTAGGGGTAGAGGGAAGAGTAACCATTGGAGTTGAAAGCGTTAAAGAGCACCAAGAAGAGAGTCCACTGAGAAAGCTGGAGACAATGTGGTCAGAAAGGGAGAAGTATCTGGAGAGAGGCACCTCATGACATCCAAGGAAGAGGAAGGGTGGCACCACCATCAAGTGACAGATGAAGTAAGATAAGAAACAAAGAGAACGTGTTGCCCTGGGTGAGCCATTGGTGATGAGAACTAACACAGTCACTAGTAGCAATGGGCCCTCATGCCTCTCCAAATCACTGATGGCTTCAGCAGCGCAGAGAGAAGAACTCATACACAGATGGCCTCACAACATGCTTCTTCTGCCGCAGGCTTTGTCCAGCACTCTCAAGCTTGGAAGCACCGTGCACAATGATCTCAGGAACATTGTCTTTACCTAACTCCATTCACTCATAGCAGGAATCATTTTCTGATGTAGATTCTGGGGCCAAAGCTAGGCCCTGCCAGCCTCAGTTTCTGTCCTTCCCCCGGCGATGAATCAAATCCCACTGGAAGCCGTGCCTTTCTTTCTGACCTTGGATCGAAGATCTTCAGTCCTAGGTGACTGAGCCTTGCCCACAAGGCTGGGGCAGGTCCTGATGGAGGCTTCTCCCACAGCCCCAGAGTCTGATCAAGTGGCAGTGATGAAAATTCTCCAGGAGGGAAGTTGGGGCCAAAGGTAGGAGGAGCAGCACTGGGAGCCAAACGGAATGGTGAGGTGAGGACAGAAATGGTGGCAGGCAGCAATGTTGGTGGCTGCAGTGCTTTGCAAAAATGCCCACAAATTCCTTGGTCCTCCTCTTTTCAAGAAGTGGAGGCTATTCCCCTCTTCTTGAATGTAGACTGGGTTTAATGACTTGCTTTTAACAAACACAGTAAAGAGGAGTGACAATATGCAGTTTTGGAGACTAAGTTATAAAAGGCACTGTGGTTTCTGTCTTGACTGTGCACTCTGTCTCTATGTCTCTGTCTGTCTCCGATCACTCACTCTGGAGGAAGCCAGCTATTGTGTTGTGAGCTGCCTCATGGAAAGGCCCACATGGCAAGGAGCTGAGGGAAGCCTCTGTTC